>NC_000004.12:136800168-137103199 GCF_000001405.40 Homo sapiens
GGAGATTTTCTTAGTAAGAGATGGTTTTACATTACATGCTGTAAAATCACAGTTCAAAATTACCTGAGTAAATTTATTTTCTTTAACAAGTGCTTTATAAATATTCATTTAAAAAGTCATGTTTATAAATTGAAATGGTCCTTTGTAAATGTCCAATTACAATCATTTGACAAGTATAAATACACTTTGTGGCAAACAATAGCCTGATTTATGCAGATCCCATTAGATATGACTGTGAACTATAATTATCCTAGTGGACTATAATTTTGCCTGCCCAGTCATTCATAGAGTTTAATATACTCAACTGAGACTGGATTTTCGAAGCTGTTTGTAACAGTGGCAATGATATATGTGTCACCACCCTTTCTAATTCTTTTTTTGCTTCAATAAATAATCTCAGCTAGGACCTCATTCATGCCGTTTTGCTCAACTCAACAGGTTCGAAACAAATTGAGAATAATATTAATAGCAAGTCACTTTTGCTAAGCCTAAAGAATACTTACCTTTGTGGGTATTTTTTCTTTTTTGTATATTTGGTCATTAGAGGTTAAACACAATGTTAGTTAAATTATTGCCTTGATGAAGTAAATTGCCTATTTTAGAGAGTATTATATAAGGGTAAGAAATTGCAGCTAAAACATGGAAGTCAAGTTTGAAAAAAAACTTGGATGTTTACTTTCCTATTTTAAATTCATGACCTATCACTTCTCCTGACTTGGTAGATAAAATCGGTCTTTAAAATTTAATATGCTATTAGTAATTGCTCATAGTAATGTATAACCCAACTTCATCACAAGAGAGCATATAAATAGAGTCCCTTTAGCAAGATGTTTGCATGATACCAAAACAACCAGGTAGTTCAGACAAATCACCCAATTTAGTGCCATTCAAAAATTCAGTGATGTGAACACAATATTAAATAACACTGTCCTGATCCTGAACCGTCTCTATGATTGCAGTTTTTGAATTAACATTACAAATAGTTGTTGAATATAGCACTATTTTTCTGATTTTGGATGACACTGTGTAGAACAAAATCTATTGTCATAGAGCAATTATTTCATTTCTTCACAAACTAGCAGGAAGATTCAACTTAGGGCAAGTTTTCTTTCCAAAATTTTGCTAGTATAATATTATTTTTTAACATTTTGTAATATAAAAGTAAGGTAAGCTTACAGCAAAACAGAAAATTATAGAATAGAATGTAGAAATCTTAAATTAAATTTTTAAAGGAAAAATACTTGTTTTACAATGCAAATCATTTTTTATCATACTCATTTATTAAAGCTACTCTTCCCTGAAAGTGCCTGCAAACTGTCATCAGTATTTGTTCCTGAGCTGTTTCTACAAAACAAACTCAACCGTTTAATGACACCAGCTTTTAGCATCTGCTTTCATTATCATTATATGAGGCAGTGCTATGCTGTGGCACCCCGTGCCTTTGGAACAAGAATGCTGGACCCTGGACCTTTAGAATGAGTTACAGAGTTTTCCTGAATACAGTATTGTGTTCTATGCCAATACAGGGATAGTGATGTTTCTCTTACATTTTGCAGTTTCACTATGCTAGATGAGTTTCAAAACAATGCTAATTTTTCTCTAGACATATAATGGAAATTTAACAAAAACACCCTTTTCAGTTTTTATTTACAGACTTATCTCGATCTTAAAGTCAGTCATGAGCCCGTAGGTGTTGGGGCATGGTATAGTGAAGATGGGGATAAATGTGAATTTTAAGCAACAGATAGCACTTATAAAACCCAGAGACTGAAAGGCTACCATCTTGTGATTTCAGGCAGGTGTGCAAGACTCTCCTTGGAGAGTTCTACTTCAGGACTTTGTTTCTTTCCCAAGAGGCTTCTAATCTCCTTTGCTTGAAGGTCTGCCCTGGCACCTCAGTTCTCTCCCAAAAGTCCATAAATGCCTACAACCTGACAAAGAGTTCAGTTTAGGCTCATGATAGGCTTTGGTATACAGGTGTGAGCCACCATGCCTCGCCCACAATCTTTCTTAATTCTATGTATACTTTTTTTATTTCTTTTTTTGAGACGGAGTCTCGCTCTGTCACCCAGGCTGGAGTGCAGTGGCACGATCTCGGCTCACTGCAACCTCCGCCTCCCGGGTTCAAGCAATTCTCCTGTCTCAGCCTCCCGAGTAGCTGTGACTACAGGCATCTACCACCATGCTCAGCTAATTTTTGTATTTTTAGTAGAGACAGGGTTTTACCATATTGGTCAGGCTGGTCTCAAACTCCTGACGTTGTGATCCACCCGCGTTGGCCTCCCAAAGTGCTGGGATTACAGGCATGAGCCACCATGCCCAGCCAATTCTATGTATACTAAATGTAATGATAAATGTACTTTTATTGATTTTCATCCTCATTCTCTAACATTTGGGTTTTTATGTTTTGTTATTGTAAATATTTTTCCTTTTAACTGTTGTTTGTATTAAGTGTTTCTTTTGGATCACTTTGTTATTGTCTATATTAAGAGTTATTTTTTTAATTAGCCGGGTGTGGTGGCAGGCACCTGTAGTCCCAGCTACTCAGGAGGCTGAGGCAGCAGAATTTCGTGAACCCAAGAGGCAGAGTTTGCTGTGAGCCGAGACTGCGCCACTACACTCCAGCCTGGGCGACAAGGCCAGACTCCGTTCCAAAAAAAAAAAAAAGTTTTTTTTTCCAATTTTATTTACTTGGAGTTAAGATTAAGTAGAAGTGGGTTGACACCCACATGATATTTTTTTTCCACAACAATTGCAATGTGAGAAAAAATGCTAAGCTCTTAAATTACTGTGGTCTATGTCCATTAAACTTCCAGTCAATTTTGAAGATGATGTATTATACTACCTCAGAGGATGCTTGTGATGAATTCCCTTGCACACCAAGAAATTACAGTTTCTATATAACTGCCTTCTATACATAACACAACCTTTGGTCTATAATTTCTGTACTCATGTTCAAGAACCATAAAGTCCCGGATTTCACATTCAAATGTCATTATTAACTGTTTTGCTGAGAATAAAATAAATTTTGAGAGAAAAAAAAGCACCAAAAACCAGTGTCATAGGATCATTCACGCTCCGTCTGTTGTTCCTCTCTCTCCTATGACAACCTCAAGGCACATTAAAAGTATTGAGTGCTCCCTAAAAAATACCAGTACAATAGACCCACTCTGAGAGATGAAATCAGAAGAGTTCAAAAGTAAAAGGAATGTTCTCTTTCTCAGTAGGCTGGTTAATTTTATATACACTCATTTGATTGATTTTTAACACTGATGGAAAGAAAGTAACTTTTCAGTGCAGAAACAATTACAGCAGGAGCTGCTATCCTTTACTGAAGGAACAATGCTATTTATAAAGGAAGAAAATTACAAAGGTTTGTTTCCTGCTGCTAATTTTGCTAGGGCACTGAATTAGTATGATACTGCTGGGAGCTGCGGGAGACCTTTATGATACATGAGCAGGAAGGAGCTGACCTGATGTGTAGCATTAATCATCAACAGCTCCAGTTAGCGCGTGTGTCAACCAGAGGCCAGAGAGGGATTGCCCCAGGCCCCTACCCCCCAAAGTCAGTATGGAAGGTAATTCTAAGTAACAGCTAAAGTGACCCAAGTCATTGATTAATTTTTGACTTGAATCATTTAGAGATAAGAAACTAAATTCTTGGTGGGAACAAATAGTTATGTTAAAGGAAAATCAACAATATAATTAGTTCATCTGTATTTTCTCTTTTTAGCTTGGCATGATTTGTATATTTGCTACAGCTGCTATAAGGAAGTTCCACAGACAGTGGGGCTTCAACAACAGAAATTATTGTCTCAGTTCTGGATGTTAGACATCTGACCTCGAGGTACGGACAGGCGTGGTTACTTCTGAAGTCCAGATCTCTCCCATGGCTTCTGGAGGTTTGCGGGCAATCTTTGGGACTCCTGGGCCTGGAGAAACATCACCCTCATCTCCGCTTTCATGTTTATATGGCATTCACCGTGTGTGTGTGTGTGTGTGTGTGTGTGTGTGTGTGTTTTCCAAATTTCCCCTATTTTAAAAAAAATAAGATCAATCATATTAGGATCCACCATAACGACATAGAGAGCAGCAGGAGACTGTCAAATGCCTATGCAGAGAGGAGCGGGCCCCTGGTGAAACCCTACCTCTGAGCCAAAGATAGTTTAAAGCCTGAGAGCCAAGGTACAAATTAAATCCTTGGACCAAGTTGAGAAACTGTCTTCACATTTGGTGTGCTTTCCTCTGATTTATCCTTACCCTTTACCTATTTTACATATACCTACCCCTTACTAATTGGTTTTCTACACTGTTGTGCCCACCTTTGAGTGGTATCTTTGCTTTAACCTTTTTTTGCATACTCACAACTAATCAGCATGCACTCCCCATCCTGTGTCTATAAAGACCACAGACTCAGTCAGTAGAAGGGGAGACAGCCTGACTTCAGGGAAGAGACAACCTGACTTTGGGGAAGATGACCTGTGCTTCCTGTCCTCCCTCCATCTCCCCTCTCTGCTGAAAGCCATTTTCATCACTCAATAAAATTCTCTGACTTCACCATCCGTCAACTGTCTGCATAATCTCATTCTTCTTGGATGCCAGAAAAGAGCTCGGGAACCACTGGTTGTGGGTAACCAGAAAGGCTGTCACACCGGCCCTTTGCCCTCACTGGCGGAGGGCAGTTGCCCCATACAATGAGGCAAGGGGCCAACTGAGCTGCCAACACACTCCTGTTCGTGGATGGCAGAACCACATGAGCACTGTAACTTTGCTTTGGGGCCACAGGCACCTTCACTTGGGCACTACCACATTCCCCTTGAGGCAATACACCTTGTCTGGCTGTGGGCCCTGCAGAACTCACTCCTGTGTCAGCGGCTGGAGCGACTGGCAGGATCCCACACTCACTCACCAGCACCTTCTCTGGCCATGGGCCCTGTACAGAGCTTGCTCCTGTGTTTGGCACCTGGAGTGGCTGGCCAGATCCTGCACTTGCTCACTCACATGCTCCCTCTTCTAAGGGGTTGAGCATAGCAAGCCCCTGCTATGAGTCCAGCAAAGGGGCCAAGAAAAATCCTACAGCAACATCATTTTATATCTGTAAAGACTCTGTCTCCAATAAGATCACATAATGAGGTACTGAGAGGTAGGAGTTCAACATATCGGTAACATAATTTAGGGGGGCTGGCAAATTCAACTCAGAATATGATCATAAAATAACTAGTGAATAAGTCAGAATTTTAATCTATAGCCAAAACAATTTAAAGTTTGCTTGAGGGATGAAACATGCACTTATCAAAAAGTTTGTTGGGATAGAATATGGAAATCTATGCATATTAAAGCTCTCTGAAATATTTTCAAATTAAAATGTTATTGTTGTATTGGCTATAAAGGTAGAATCATTGAATGTTAGCTCTGGAACCCAGTTTTTTACATTAGAAAACCAATGTCATTGTGCTTTGAAAATCTTGCAGAAATTACAAAGCCAAATCAGAAGCAGAACATGCTAGTGAGAGAGGAGGCAGTTAGAGACTGGTTAGACAGAGAGGGAGGTCTCGGGAGAGAGGCAATAGTCACAGGAACACCTGCGGGACAGCACCAACACTGCCTCTGCAGCTAGCAAAAGAAATGTGGTTAAGAGCTTCCTCCTATGCCAGGATGTCTGCTTAGAAGGACTGTCCTAACCTAGGTGAAGGCACAATAAATCAATCTAAATGTCATTAACTTAACCCAGCTCATTATAACATCATTAACATGACATTAGCATTGTGGTTTTAGTCCCCCCACCCATGGGTTTTGCTTAGCCACTCATAGGTAACAACTAAGATGGAGTCACTATGGCCAACCCCAGGCAAGCGCAGATGCAATAACCCTAGGAGGGAATTTTACCCCTCCCATTAAGGCAAAACCCACAGAAGACTTCCTTATTTCTTCCACATGAAGGTCCCCAACCACAGATACCCTGGAAGCAACCTACTTTCAGGGTCCCCTCTCACAGCTGAGAGCTTTCCTTTCACTTAATAAATCCTACTCTATCTTACTTACTCCCCAGTGTCCATGTGCCTTACTCTTCTTGGCTGTGGGACAAGAGCCCAGACCTCATTGAACACCAGGGGCAAAAGGAGACTGAAACACTAGTACTGTATAAATCTTGATGGAACCCCTGCAACAGAGGGCAGGCACAGTTTACTCTTTCTAGGTGTGTTTTGTAGTTATCAGGTCTTTCACCTTTTGGTGAAACATGCAATCACACCTTAGCAGATCTCTTTCACCTTCTGGTGAAACATGCAAGTAAAACTCACCTTCCAGTGAAACATGCAAAATTATAAAACATGCACTTTTTTAAAAATTGCAGTATGAGTTAAATTATCATGCATTACTCGTGAAATGAAGAGTAAATTTTAAATATACACATTGTACCTCTATGAGCAAATAACATTTTTATCAGAAAAGCAAATCATTGTCAAAGATAATTCACATATTGCGTGTCAGTGCTCAACATAATTGTATTTTAAATTTCATAAGCCATGTAACATCTCCATTGTTATAAAACCACTACAGAAGTAACTGCATACAAAGGTTTTTTATCATTTTTTTACGTGGTAAATACCGATGTGAACATGATAATGTTTTCAGTCGTCAGTGACCATGTTGGACATATCTTGAAAACACATTTACTTTCCACAAGATCCATGTATACTGGGGTTGACAATTATACTGATAGAAAACTGTTCCTAAGGCAGATTAAATTTGGAGTTGTTTGTTTGTTTTTTGTTTTGTTTTACTTTTATTGCTTTTTAAGCCATGCAGTTGTGGGAGGCCTATTTGCATATTCATAGTCTTCCTTCAATCTGGTTTAGAATATGGAGTTTTTGGCTCCCTAAGGCTATTTCTAATGGTTAGGTACACGGTAGCAAGTCTGACCACTGGCCTACTCTCATATTCAGCTAATTATGTTTCACAAGAAGATCTTGACACAGTCACAACATTTTGCAACTTGTCTTTTCTCCAGAACATTTAAAGCTTTTCTAGAATATTGTGTATCCTGCTGCTGTGCCATTTGCCTGTGTTTAGTCAATTGAGAGACTTTGATGCATTATATTATGATGAAAACAGCCCATGGTTGCCAACATGAAATAACAACTGCAATACAGTGATATAACTTACATGAGAGCTTTATAAGTTTGATAAGTATGTCTGCCATGCCTATTTTTTTATTTTACTAAACTATGTCTTTAGAAGCAGATCTATAGACATTAATATTATTTTTAGCAATGAGAGTTTATATTTGTGAAATAGTTTTTAGAAAAATATCTACTAGAATGCTAAAATAATTTTAAGTATTAGAATCTTGTAAATTACCAATTTTCTTTATAGTTAAACTTACTGTGCTTACCAGGGCTAACTCCCTGCAAGACCTAGCAGAATGTGTTCCACGTAATAGATGATCAGCAGATACTGATTGAATAAAACTGTTATGAGAATAATCAATAATTACCTCTAGCTTTAAAAATGCACTAGACTCAAAGTGCTTAAAATTAATTATCCTATTTACTGATCATAGCAGCGGTGGGAAATAAGTATGTACTATTATCACGCCCATTTTGAAGAGGAGAAAAACGCTACATAACGTGCTAAATGTAACAAAGAGAGTAGAGATAGGTTTTACACCCAGATTTTGATTTAGCTTCAGAACCCATGCTATTATAATGATTATGTCATATTACTTTTTAAATGTGAAGATATTTAAAAAATAAAAAGAGCTGGAAAACGTTTTGTTTTTATTACAGAATAATCTTATACTGTAGAGCAGCATTGAACTTCTTGAAAAAGTTCCATGGAACTGTTAAAAAAAGAAATGCCTAGGCCGGGTCAAAGCAGCTTGGGTGCTTTCTTTAATGAATTTATGTTTAGGATTATGGGCATCAGACACACTTGCAATGAATTAGCAGGCATGAACTTTCATAGGTTCTCACCATGAAGAACCTTTCAATAGAAAAAAATGTAAATGTTAAGTAACAAGTCTCCCCTACGAATGGCCTCAATGCTAAAGTTTTTACGTTTTTAGGGTTACTCGTGTGTGGCACATCAATCATGGAAAAGAATTGTGGATTATCTAGTTGCAAATCACCACTCAACAGATTTTTGTAAAACCTCATTATTTTGATAAGGTCCAACTTATCCTGAACTGTTATTTAAAATACATAAAATATACATAATGCATGGAGATATGATTATATAGAGTAGAAATAAACCCTGTGACATTATATGACCCCTTGTGTTAATTTTGATAACAATATGATAATTATTTGACCATACCTGAGTCATATGTCCTGGCACCGAAAGCATTTTCTCATTTAAAAGCCATTATTACTTGTAAAATTGACTCTCATGTGTAAGCAATGTTATGTATTTGTTTCATTTTTAGAAAATCTCAATTTTATATGCTTTTAATGAAAATAAGTTTTTTTAAAAATTGCTATTGATTTTTAAGGGGTGAGAGAGAGCAAATAATGAGAGTTTAAAGCAAGCAGTGACATGTCTAGATTTTTAAACAAGATTTTATAGCTATAACAAGGAGGTAGATATGGTTGACGTGTGAATTTGAGGAATAAATCCAATGTAAGGAGAATAGAGGAGGAAGAGACACTGCTGTATTTAGCAGCCGGTTGTTTATTTAGAATTGATTACCTGGCCTAATCCCAACTGTTGTAGAATTACTCAGTTAAAGGCTCTTTTGATGTGGGGTGATTTATCCTAATCCCTGAAATTATAAAGTATTTATGACTGCCTGGTAAATACAATTTTGGGATTTTAAAGAACAGAGTAAACAGGATCAGCTGCATTTGTACAATTCTGAGATTTCTAGTTGTCTCAGTTAGTCTGGGTAGCTGTAACAGAATATTATAGACTAGAATGGCTTAAACAACATAAATTTATTTCTCATAACTCTGGAGGTTGGGAAGTCCAAGATTAGGGTGCCACAAAGATTGGGTTCTGATGAAGGTCTTCTTCCTGTTTCACCAATGGCTGTCTTCTTGCTGTGCCTTAACATGGAGGAAAATAGTGTAGAGGTGAAGGGAAAGCTGCCCCTTTGCCCTCTGAAGTTTCACTAAAAATCAACTGACAAAAGTTTAACAGGAAAAAAGGAATAGGAAATTTATTTTAATGTGCATAGCACATGCCAATTGCAGCAGAAAAATTATTCAATAACTCAATAATTACTCAATAACTTAATTGTAGATGCTTATATACTTCTTTTTTTTTCATAGGAGAAAGGGAGATGGGGAAATATGGATGATTTTAAAGGAGATATTATTATTTTTAAGGGGATTCAATGGGCTTGGAGAACACACAGTGGCCTGGAACCACGTCTGTTGGGCCCACAAAGCAGAAAATGGTTTGTGACAAAAGTCTGTCCAAGTGTAACATACTTCAGTCTTTCTGCAAGATGGCTTAAGTTAATGAAAACTCAGGGGAGGAACCTAAAGTAGTTGTTTTCTTCCTTGGTTGGTCTGAACTTTAAGCAAATAAGAGAATATCAGAGTAAACCTTCTTGTAGTATCTGCTGGATTCCAAGAGCCTTTAATTTAAAATAATCAGCATACCAGGGTGCTATATTTGAGGTTTAAATTCCTTGATCTTTAGCAGAGATGGAGGAAGCAAGCTCTTCCCTGTCTCTTGTTAGAAAGGCATTAATCCCATTTATGAGGGCTCTACCTTCATGACCTAATTTCCTCCCAAAGTCTCCATCTCTGAATACTATCACATTGCAGATAAGATTTTCAACACATAAATTTTGGGGGGACACAAACATTCAGTCTACAGCATTACTTCTTTTTGTTTAAATTGTCTCAACCATTGTGTTGAAATACTGCAAACAAAATATGAAAGATTTTCTTTATTGAGCACTAGTTTACCTTCTTCTGAAAACAAGCATACATGTGGGCATGGTGTATAGTATTGTTGATTTATGTTTAAAACACCTAGGCAAATACATGTTAGGGTAGAGGTGTGACTACTGTGAAGGACTGAAGCATGCTTGGACTACTGGTCTGTGCATTTTGGAAAGGTTATAAATATCACTTATTACATGATGTACACCAATACAAAAGAGTGAAGTTGCTGCAGGGCATCTACTAATGGATTCATACCAACATTTATAATGGGTTGAGAAGTAATTTAGTCAAGTAGAATTCTCTCATTTCCAATTATATAAGAGAAGCCAGCCTTCTGGGTCTGGGCCACCTATTCAGTATGAGCCTTGACTGAGATTGTATCTCCATTCACAAGAAAAGCATCACTGTCCAGTGCTCCAGGATTAATCACTTGAAGGGCTTGGTGATAGGTTTCCTCTGTTTAGTGGAACTGGCAGCAAGAGACCCCGTTTCACTGGGGAATTCATTTTCCCTATAGCTTTATTGGGCTTCTTAGTGTTGCAGGATCCTTGGGGTGTTGCTCTTCTCACCAGAAACCTGTGGCTGGTGGTACCTTTTCCTTGGGTCTGCTGAGTTTTCCTTGGGCCTGCTGGGCTCATTCCACTCACTTGGCCTGGAAGGCTGTGCATGGCTCACTCTACCATCCTGGATCCCACGCCTCCAAGAGAGACTGTGAGTCAGGAATGGAGCTATGATGGGGGTGTGAGCAAGCCTGGTGTTTGGCCACTGCCCAGTACGACATGCCGGCTGCTGCCACTGGGAGGGCAGCTCCAGGTGCCGGCATAGGTCCTGGCATAGTCACCGGCTGTGTGAGGCTGTGGTTGGACCAACAACACTGCAAGCAGTTTGGAATGGTGGTGCATTGGCGCCCAGAAGCTTGGAGATGCCAGGAACTGCAGGGCCCCAAAGAGGGAGTTACATTCTTGGCTCAGGGAGCTCCCAGGTGTAGGCTCCCTGAAGGACCATAGCTTTTCTCTCCCTCTCTTTGCCCACAACGTGGCGAGCAAGGAGCATGTTTCAGCCCTGTTTGGGTTACAGAATGGCAAGCTCTTTTAGCCTTGCCATTCTGCAGGTCCCAATTTCTTGTCCTGTGACCAGGAAGAATGAGGTATGCAGACAAGTGGAG
Organism: Homo sapiens; assembly: GCF_000001405.40. Taxonomy (NCBI): domain Eukaryota; kingdom Metazoa; phylum Chordata; class Mammalia; order Primates; family Hominidae; genus Homo; species Homo sapiens. Next base: position 136,811,230 of record NC_000004.12, read on the forward strand.
AATGAGCAAGGGGAAGAGGAGCTTTATTGAGCAATAGAACAGCTCAGAGGAAACCTGCAGAGGGTAGCTCCTCTTTGCTGGGCAAGTCACCCCAATGAGAGTTTAGCTCTCAGCAGACAGGGCAGCTCTTCTCTGCAAGCAGGTCCTCACGACCAGTGTTCAGCTCTTAGCAGAGAGCGTAGCTCCTCTCTGCAAGCAGGCTGTCTCAACAAGTGTTCCGTTCTCAGCAGAGAGGGTAACTCCTCTCTACAACTGGCCATCCCCTCGTCTGCTCATCCCTGGTTGAGCCTAGGGCCTTCATGGCCTCAGAGGGGAGGAAGTGTGCACCGATATTTCCATGGGAGGCAATGGGTGGGCCCAGAAAAGGCTCCACAGGTTTCCACTCTGGTCCCTGGGACTGGCAGTCCAGCCCCCAGCCTTCAGGCCAACATTGGCCTGAAGGTGGAGCCTCACTGGGGACCTGTTCGCTTCCGCCAAGGAGCCTGTCTGCCTTCTGCTGTTGTTCATAGTGCCCAGGCTGCTTGCACCAAGGGCCACCTGCAGGTCAGTGCTGAGCTGCCCTCAGCACTCCCTTGGCTTCCCCCTGTGCTAGTCAGCACCCAAAGTCCAGAGAGGAACGAGGCAGCATGGGGCTAGCGTGTCAGTGCTGTCCCAAGCGTTCTCACACCGACAGCGCCTGCGCTCGGCCCCAACCCCACTCTGAGATTGGAACTGGAGTTGGGAGCAGGGAGAGGCCAGGAGCGGAAGCAGACACCCCGAGCCTACGGGGGAAGGGGGAGCCTTTCTGGGTCCCTGAGGGTGCAGAATGCAGAGATGCCCGGGTCTTATTCCTGGGAAAGTGGGGCTCTCACCCACTTTGCAGAGCATGCAGGAAGCCCTAGCTATGCCTACTAGCAGCCTGGGGCAGGGGGCTCCAGGTCCTTGCTGTGCCTGGGCCGGCTTCTGGGGCAGGAGAAATATCGCTGTGACCTCCCTCCGTGGCCCCAGTGCTCAGTGGCGGCCTGGGGCTCCCAGTCATCTAGCTGGCGGCTCTGCCCAAGGGCATCTCTGGGAGAGGATTGTGGGCCCCGGGCATGGCCGTCCGGAGTGTCAGGCTTGGCGGTCACACTGATGCGGGGCGGACTCTGCGGATGCAGGCCAGGAAGCCCCAGCCCAGAGTCTTCTCCTGAGGCCCAGGAACCCAGCGCCCTCGGTAAGCTGGGGGCGGAGGCCATGCAGCTGACCAGGTCGCTGGCTGGGCCTCTGAAGCGGCGCGCCACTCTTACTTTCCGCCCTGGGCCGCCAAAGCACCGCACCAGCTCCTTACTCCGCCACCCCGGGCCCGACCCCCAAGCTCCCCAAGCTCCGCGTACAAGCGCGGCACCGCCCCAAGCCCGGCTCCACCTTGGGGGCCCACCTCTGCCTGACTGTGCCGCTCCCCTGCTGGCAGGCAGCTGGGCCGGCCCCCTCGAGTTGGCCCCCAGGATGACGGGCTCCAGTGGGGCTCCCGCTTGTCCTTGGCTCCTGCCAGCACCCGGGAGTGCAGCACTGCCCTGGGCCCAGCTCGGCTTCCACCCCTTACTCTCCCTGCAGCAGCGGCGGGCGAGAGTGGACCAGGGTCCAGTGCTACAGAGGCTCCTAACCTGGGAGCGGGTTCCACTTGGCCCAGCAAGGATGAGAGCGTTGCAGTCAGCCGCCTCAGGGACGCAGGGCACAGGGGACCCACTGCCGCCACTGCTGCTCCCGCAGCCTGGCGCCACTGCCCACACCTCCCCACTCAGGACGAGCATTGCTACAATCATTAGGAGGGCAGAACTTGGTGTCTTTGGTGACAGGCTTTAAGCCATATAAACCTTGCTTCCACCATAACGGGGCGACCATTTCAAGAGAATGCTTTAAGAAAATCACTTTTAGGCCGGGCGCGGTGGCTCGAGCCTGTAATCCCAGCACTTTGGGAGGCCGAGGCGGGTGGATCATGAGGTCAGGAGATCGAGACCATCCTGGCTAACAAGGTGAAACCCCGTCTCTACTAAAAATACAAAAAATTAGCCGGGCGCGGTGGCGGGCGCCTGTAGTCCCAGCTACTCGGGAGGCTGAGGCAGGAGAATGGCGTGAACCCGGGAAGCGGAGCTTGCAGTGAGCCGAGATTGCGCTACTGCAGTCCGCAGTCCGGCCTGGGCGACAGAGCGAGACTCCGTCTCAAAAAAAAAAAAAAAAAAGAAAAGAAAAGAAAATCACTTTTAGAAAATAATGCATATATGCTGATTCTGACAGTGGCAAGAGAAGCGATGGTTGTACTCCATCGTTTACACTCGAACTTTTGCCACCCTTGGCTTCACCTCAAATGATTGATTCAACCTGCATAGTGACCAGTGAGAAGTCACGGATGGGTTCTAATCTGCATCTCTATGCAAATAGAAAATGTCTTTCGTTCATATTACCGTTTGGTTGAGGAGTACGAGTTGCTCATTATGTAGCACTTAGCTGAGAGTCTTTTGAATCACTTTCTGATTGTAGATCGTTCTAGAAAAGAAGAAATGAAGGTGTCCTTATTTTGTAGCATACCAGCCGCCTCTATCTTCCTTCTATAGAAGAAAGTGGATTGCAGATTTCCCTGTATTGTCGTAAGCAGCACTGTGAAACATTCTCAGAAGAGTGAGTAGAAAACTGTGATCATCACCGAAAGGACAGCCAATTTGCCTCTCTCCTCCTCTCTGGTCATCAGGATGCAAGAAATATGACCCTTCTGATTTTTTTCCTAGGACCCACCTTGGTTCATAAAAGTATTGCAGCTTTATGTAGAACCCAAATGGCTTTTTAATAGGCTTCCCAGGATTTCCCTGGAACACAGAATAGAAGGTGTCATTGGGGAAAGCTGTGCTTTCACAGCAGTGAACGGTGAAATCTGTGAATTCAGACAGCAGCTTATCCACAGTTAAGAAAAACATGATATTGTATTCATTATGTTTTTCTCTCTAGTGGCACATTCTTACGCCTTAGGGACTGAAAAATGTCCCCTAGCTCAGTTTCTGTCAAAAATATCCTCTTGGTCTCTGGCAAAATTATCAAAATTTCTTGAAACAATTCTTTTTGAACAGAGCTAGCATATTAGGCTCTAAGGACACTGTAAAAAATAGTTGCTATAGTTTTATAATATTCCATCGTATTTCAGCAAAATAATTTATATAAAGATGTCTTAATGTTGATATTTAGTTGTAAATTGAACTACTGTAAACAATCCGAGCATTTTTGTGATATTTCGGAATTTTTTCTTGGCACATATATTCACATATGTAGAGTTATTGAGTCTAATATATAAAAATTTCAATGCATATTGATATTGTAAAATTTTCCCCAAATATAGTACCAGTTTAAATTCCTACTTATGCAGAAGAGTGCATGGTACTCTTTGTCTTCAATAAATTTGCCTAGGCTCATTAAATATGTTTTATTTCACTAAGGAAGTAATTTTCTGCCCTTTATAGTAAACATTACATTTTTAACTAGAAAAAACTTACTAGATATTTGTTTATTACTTTTGGTTTCTTCTTGATGGTATATATACTAATGACCTTACAATATTGTATATTTATTTGTAGCATTAGCATGCTGACAGTAGTGCTGGCTTTACTGAGATGGACTAATCCACAATGGAACATGTACATGGAAAGTTCAGAGAGACCAGAAGCTGAGGTTTTTGAGGAAAAGAAAAGTTGAAGGGAAAGTTCTAGGACCTATACCAAGAAGTCATGAAAATGGGGAATTTGAAGTTCATACACTGAGGGAAAAAGTAGGCCAAGGGCCTGAAGGTCTCAATGATACTAAAACAGTTATTTTAAATGAAAGAGGAAACCAGAAGAAATAATAAGTCTATTTTCATTAAAGGCTGGATAATGAAGTTTACATTTGTCGTTTGAGTACTTCTGGCTATGCTGAGGTTGATGGAGCTGTGATAAGAATGGAGTACCAAAGTGAGGTGAGAGGGGAATCACTGGGAATGAAGTGAAGAGTATGGGGCTACTGGACATAACATATAATTCACACATTCAGGCTAATGGCAATAGTTGTTGTGAAGTCTCTGTAACTGAAAACGAAGATAGATAGTAGAGAAATGTTCAGATAGCCTAAACTTCAAAGCATTTTTTCTCACAATGAGTAAACAATTATTTTGAAGCCATAATGGATAGTCACAAAAATGCTAGAGGGTCCTTCAAGCAAGGTGGGATGTAGAGCATGAGATATTTTATAAGACTGCAAACCAAATATTATGTGCAAGATAGTGTAATATGAATTTTTCCAATTCTTTCTTTGTCAAGTAGAATTGAATTAAACATTTTTTGTGTCTGTCAAAAAACTACATGGGTGATTTTGCATTGAAAAACATTATGAGGCATACGATACCATTTGGTCCTTATTAGTGATGCTAAGTTTGATCATTTTATCTGGTGTCATCTGTTAGATCCCTCTATTGGAAAGGAAAAATTTTCCTTTGGTATCATATAAATAATATGTAGGATGACGCTTAGAACCTGTATAAGTGGATTTTAAGAACCCTTGATAATTTTCTAAGTCTATTTTCTTCCTACATCTTAGCTAATATTCTGTTAACAAAGAGCTTTCCTCCTTCACAAATCTTTTTTTTTCCTGTTTTTGTAGTAGGTCAATGAACTCATGCATAATATGTTATAATTCAGTGTGTTATAATTGGTTCTCTCACTATTTTTGTGGTGAATAATTATCTCTAATTTGGCCCATGGGGTCCGCTTTCTAGTTAGGTCCACTGTACTCTGACATGTCCCCATTTTTATTTTTTTAAGAATGTTTATGCTTTCAGGATCTCTTATTCATTTGGAGTCATTCTGTTAGATGTAGTGAGGTATGGATTCAACTTTTCCTTTTTTAAAACAGTTGTTACAACATTGTTCACTAAAAATTAAATTTACTAATGAGAACACTTTACCAGAGTTTATCATTGATTTAGTATATCAGTTCTTAAAATGAAGTTTTCTTTTTTCATAAGAGATTATATTTTTTGGGACTTAAGTTATAATTGGCCAACTTTATTCAATAAGCAGCCTTTATATGTAAAGAGAGTAAATATATATTTTGAAGGCATTGTATCCAATAATCAATTCCCCTTTCTCTCTTTCTTAATCTGTCTTTTTCTCAATCTTATTTTACATTTTATCTTAATTTTACAACAAATAGATACAAATAATAATGAGAAAAAATCAATTTTTTAGTCTTATTTATACCTATTTTGGTTCAAAAATTTTGAAAAACACTAAAATAAGTGTCACCCTGTTTAAAATGTTATCTCATTTGCTTTAATGTCATGCCCCATTGTTTTGCATTTGTCTTAAATAATCTTACATTTTAAAAATGTTCTTCTACTTTAATATTGTCAAAATGATGTATTTCATGCTCACTAATTCTACTAGCATGGCAGGCAAAGTGGTCATTTTTCAAAATTTTAATTATCATGTAGAAAACTGTAGGAAGAGTGCAATAGAAATGACTTTTTTTTGCTTTAGTTATTAAACTTTAAACTAGTAATGAATTTGTAGAGTTGTAGAGCAAATTAGCCAAAACTACTTTATTTGATTCTAATTATAATTCTGTCTTTTGTAAACAAAGATGACGGTATTGACACAACATCTATAAATAAAGTATTCTGTATGGCTTCCCAGCATGGTGATGGATTTTCATGGATTCATTCAACTTGTTTTAACCAGACTCTTTGGTGATTAACACAGCTTAAAACCAGTTAGTTTTTTTAAGAGCAAAGTATTTGACTTGATTCAATCTGTGTCTCAACCAGCTGAACAAAATATATATTTATACATAGCTGGCTGTAAAATTAATTGATTCTGGAAAATTAAAAAAAATTAACTTATGAAAATTTGAAAGACTGTGAAATGTTCATTGTAACACAATTATAAATGATTCATGGTAGAACCTGAATTTTAAAATGTCCAACATAGTTAATTGGAAAAATATTAAGATTGTGTCAAATCTCTAGTTATAAAATGTTGATTTCAGGCCTGCAATCTTACATTAAGTTATTAATGTAAGGACAATTACATTAATTGTAATTATTAATGTAAGGACAATTATTAATTGTCCTACTCACTAAAGTATAGGAAATAATGTAATTGCCCAACAGCTATAAATAAATAAAGAAATAAAATGTATTTTAAAGTTTTTAATCTGAAAATTTAGGAAAAATTATATAGTACCTTATATTTATCACTAGGAGCCTCATTTGGTTTCTGTACTGGTTCTGCATCCCATTACAGTTTTTGAATTAATGTGGATAACTGATAATTCTAAACCAACAGTCCTAAAGATTAGATAAATTTTATCAACTACTTATTTCACTCTAAGGAATACTCCAACATGGTAAGAATTACAGTGCTTTTCATGTATAGACTACACTGTTTGAGCACCTTCCCCCAAATGCAAGCCTCAGATACCACATTGGAAATTTGCTGGGAAGGAGAATGAAGCTAAAGTCTCCATACTCAGGTAACCTGTTTATTTCTAATACAATGAAGAAAATTATGATGGCTGTGGGTGCTCAGATTTGGAACCTCCCAGGTTTTTAGCTTCCTTCTGGATTATTCTATTTTCTGTTGGCTCTATCATGTCATGTTGCATTCAGCTCACCAGAAAACAGTAAGAATTCTTTACAACCAGAAAAACAAACACTGAACAGGTAAATCTGAGTTAACTGATTTGAAAATGTACTTAAAAATGCTTTTAAGTACCATGGATGTTTTCTATTCTTCTGAAGGAAGCACTCAGGAAGGATGCATATAAGTTATGAAAGGATGAAACAAACTCCAATTTAGTCAGCCATTTCATCAGTCTGAGGCCTTGGGACTTAGTGATGTGACTGACGTCACAGCAAAGTCAAGCACAATTGGAATATTAACATTGTTTTCCCTGACAAGTACTGAAACTAAATACTGATAACTGATCTCACTGGACAGCTGATTCCAAAACAATATAGGCATCTCTTAAAAAGAACTCTACAATGTCTTTTTATTTCTTTAATCATGCTTTCTTTTAAACCTTGATAACATAATGTACCTTTCTTAATCCATAATAAGTACTTGGATATCTATTGCAGAAAGTTTGTAATTCATACATACAGATAACTTCACTGTTAAATAATGCTAATGTGGTTCCTTCCTCCTTCCTTCCTTCCTTTCTTACTTTTTTCCCTTCCCTTCCTACATTTCTTCCTTCTTTTCTTTCTCTTTTTAATATTTTCTGGTTCTGAGATGAAATGGCAGCAGTGTGTAATAAAGGATCTGGGATCCATCAAGCTGTAAGTACTAAGCAGAAGTAAATGCATTAACAATGCATAATATTTACTGTAAGATTTATGATAAACCTAGGTGAAACTTGTTTTACTTTTTATAGAAAAACAAAAAGGAAAAGAACATTAAGCCTATGTCATCTTTAAGTCAGGCTATTTTCTAGGCAATTTAGACAAATTATATAGTATAAAGCCCTCTCAGAAAAAAAAACAAAAAACCACATGTTATTTAATACAAAGATTTAGTGCCCTGATCTAATGACTGAATATTTCAATTAAGACCATATATCTCATAAAGGTTTGATAAGGGAAAATACCTCATTAGACAATTTTAATAACAACTCAAATCCATTCTTAATTCATTAAGTGCAAACATTACAAGACGATTTTAGCTCCTTAAGAGACTGCATATGTTTGAGAGAGCATTTCTCTTATCTAGACTCCATGCTGCCTCTTTGCTTCCTGTCTAGAGTTGAGTCATGGGCAGTCATAGTTTTTTAATTCTTCTTAGGCTTCTCAGTTTGAGAAAGACTTAGTTTTAATGGGTTTGGCCACAAAAGCATTTAAAAAAATTGTCTTATCAAAATTGCTGTCAAACTTTTCTTTATTATAAGATGAGGGTTTCTCTGCTTTATGACAATTGATAAAGTAGCACTGTTGGAAAAAGGGAGATAATCCCCACATTTATGCATCCTTTAAAGGCATGTCTTACATTAAGTGCTCTTCTCTTTTGGTGAATCCAAATGAAGGGAACAATGACACTGTCAGGTGAAAGAGTTTAGGCTGTTTGTTAATTCCGGGGAGGATAAGACAGTTTCTGAAGATTTTCAGCAGCTTTCATACGCACAGAATTAACCGAAGTACACTAGTCTAGACTGCTATTCAGGTTTACTGTGCTTTAGTCCTTCAAGTCCAACTTTATTGAAAATAGAAACAACAATTCACAAGTATGCTGTCAGCTGCAAAACTGTGAATATTATTGTGCTGTTGAGAAACGATAGAGATTTATAAAATCTACCATGATTGAATGGTTGCTCTTTTAAATTTTTTGGTTACTGTGAAATGAACACAGCATTTGAACTAAAAAAAAAAACCCTGAAAATTGATGATTTTTTTGCTTTGTATTTCTACATTTTATCACTTCTTCCTGTTCTTTTGTGATTTTTACATATCTATTTTAAATAATTGTATCAATATTATATACCATGGCATATAAAAATATTTAATACTTTGTTGATTATACATAGTGAGAAATAGATATCACCATGGAGGAAAATACAAGACAAAAGTGAAATAATATTATAAAATTATAATCAACCTTCTAAAGAGAGTAACTTGCCTTTACTGAAATATTCAAGCAATTCTTGAGAGTATTTATTCTCATAGGTATATTAGATTTATTAATCAACATTTAAGTTTATTGGAAGAGTTGGAAGAGGAAATAAAGAATTGGGTATCAAGGCAGACAATAATCATTAAATAAGTATAAAAACAAGAAATTAAATAATATAAAGGTAAATTAAGTTTTAAAGATAAACATCTATATAAATCTAGAGATACATGTGCTAACGAATGTTAATAATACATACTTCTGGGTGGTGGAATTTCCAGTATGTTTTTTTCCTTTAATTATTTTAGCTTCTTTATATTTTCTAATTTTTATAAACATAAACTTCTGCAATTATGATTTTAAGAACTCGATTTTAACTTTTCTCAAACATTGCAAACTCTAATAATTTTCTATATAGTAAATGAATTCTGCTGTTTATCCATTGGTGTTTTATTCTTGTTTCTTGTGAACTCTTTAGGCATCATTTATAATGCACATATTTTAAAGAGATTTTTATTTTATTTTATATTTATTTATTAAAGAAGGGGTCTTGCTTTGTTGCCCAACTTGGTCTCGAACTCTTAGCCTCAAGTGATCCTCCTGCCTCAGCCTCTCAAAGTGCTGGGATTACAGGCATGAGCCACCATATCTAGCCTAAAGAGAATTTTAAATTGTTCAGCAGAGATACACAAAGACAGCACAATTTATATAAATTTTGGAGTAAACACATAATAAAACATATATCTTTGTAAACTAGTTAAAAAATAAAAGTGGCTAGAAACTACACAAAATATAGTAATATTTGTTGTTTATATTTTAGTCTGAGCTTTCTCATATACATTGTTTAAAATGGAATATGATACCACTTACTTAGAAAAATTAATATTTTTCTTGCATTGAATTATTAACTCCTTCGTCCCATAAAAATTTAAAATAAATATAAAGACTTGTGAGAAATACCTAAATGTTGTTTTTACAATACAAAAGTAAATATATTTTCATTTTCATATGATTTTATATCACACAATAAAGGACAGAACAATAAAACACAACACTGCAATGACGGTTCTATGAGGACAAAACTAATGCAGTTAGAATGCATAGATTTTCAAAGGATGGACTAGTTCCAAAGATAGAATTTAGATACCTTTGAGGAGAGAATAAAATAAAAAAAATAAATTAAAATATTTTCTTTATGTTACTTCTTTGAAGTAGGCTTTTAATAGGAGCTAGAAAACAGGCACAGTCAGATTGATTTCCTGTGCACAGTGCCAGAGTCCTAGTTTATTTGGCTGTTAAATAAGAAGCCATATTAGCAAGGATGACAAATTGACACATTTACTTGGAATTTTTCCCTTCATATAAGTCAAGATTGATGAAGGTGGAGTTTAGTTGCCTTCACCCCAAATCAATATATGATGCCCCACCCAATTCTGGGAGAATTGACCCCTGCACGTTAGAATCACCTGAAGAGATTAACAACAAAAACAGAAACAAAAAGAATAACAAAAGCCAATATTAACTTAAGTAAATCAGAATAATTAAGTCAAAACTCCTAATGATGGAAATTGGACAATACTATTTTTGACAGTATATGTAGGTAATATTGAAAACAAGCCATGTAATGGAAATAAGGATATGATTTTTATGCATTGCTATCTTTTTAATTAAGTTTTGGTTTCCCACCAAGTGACATAGTTAGTATGTGTCTTGGTTGACATAAGACATCAGAAGTAGAACTGATTTCATTTAAAGTATCAACTATTGCTAATCATCTCTGGAATACTGTCTCCATTGACAATTCCAGGCTTTCTGACTATTGGATTTTCTGAGTCCCAGTACAGGAAAGAGATAACCAGATCTGAGCAGGATGGTCTCATGGAGTTAAGAAGACTGAATTTGGAGAGACAACGGTGAATGTAGACAAAAAAGTATTTAACAAAATGTTTAGAAATTCATCTGAATAATATATAGAAATGATAATATATTATGAGAAGAAGCTAGCTTTCCAAGGAAGGCAAGATTGGTTTAGCATTTGAAAATCAAAATATATGTAATTCATCATATTACTAGAATAAAGGAGAAAAAGCATATCATGATCTCACTCATGGTAGCATGTGAGCCCAGGCACGATGGCTCATGCCTATAATCCCAGCACTTTGGGAGTATGAGGCTAGCCTAGTGCTAGAGCCCAGAAGTTCAAGACTAGTCTGGGCAAAATAGGGAGACCCTGTCTCTATAAAAAATACAAAAATTAGCCAGGTGTGGTGGCATATGCCAGTAGTCACAGCTACTTAAGAGACTGAGGTGGGAGGATCACTTGAGCCCAGGAGGCAGAGGTTGCAGTGAGCCAAGATTGTGCCACTGCTCTCCAGCCTGGGCAACAGAGTGAGACTCTGTCTCAAAAAAAAAAAAAAAAAAAAAAAGCATCCGTTCATAATATGTTGTCTATCATAAAACTAGGATTCAAAGGAAAATTTTCTGTTATCATAATAGGTATCCTTGAAAAACCTACTTGTTACTTTGTAGTTAATAATGAACGAATGACTATTTTCCCTCCAAGATTAAGAAGGCAAGGATACTTACTTGCACCGTTACAGTTTAACATTTTTCTGAAGGTCCTAGCCAAGGGAACAAGGAGTTCAAAGTATGCTCATTACAAAGAACTAGGTAAAAATGTATTCTTTCAGAGAAAGCAAGACTTTATAGTTGGTGGAATATAAAAAGAAACCTAAAAGATCTACTAGAATAATTGTTTGCATTTTCATACATTAACAAACAAAAAAAATCAGAAAATGAAATTAAAATGTCATTTAAAATAGCATTAAATGACAAAATAGTTTAAGATATATTTAACACAATGTACGAAAACCAGTATACTCATAAATACAAAACATTTATTACAATAATTTTAGACAACCTAAAATTTAGAGACATATATCAATTACGTAGATTGAAATAAATATTGTCAAATTCTTATTTGTCCCCAAATGGATACACATATGCAGCATAATTCCAATCAAAATTCCAAAATTCTCCTTTAATTGTTTTGTTTTAATTGAAGTTGATAAACTGGTTCTAAAATTAGTGTGGAGCTACAAAGACATAAAAAAACTACTGTCAATGAGTTTCCTGGGGTGATGCTTTTCCAGCTGTAAACTTCTGTGTCCAGTAGCTCCTTTGCCTGAATTTTGCTTGGGCCTGCTGGGCTCATTCTGCCCATACGACCTGGCAGGCTGTGCTTGGCTTGTGCTACTGGCATGGATACCACGCCTGCCAAGAGCATGAGGGGCAGCAAGAGGTGTGTGAGAGTGAGGAAGCATGGCGTCCGGCCACTGTGCACAATAAGGCAGGCTGGCTGCGGCAGGATGTGCAACTCCAGGCACCAGGATGGAAGCTGGCTCCCTGCGAGGCTGCGACTGGACCAGGCGTACTGCAAGCAGCTTCCACAACTGGCACCAGGAAATGTGGTGATGCCCAGAAGCTTGGAGATGCCAGGGACTACAGATCCCCAAAGTGGGTGCCACAGCATTGGTTGTTCCCAGAGCTCCTACGTCTGGGCTCCGTGAAGGGCCACAGCTCTTCTCTCCCTCTTTCTTCTCTCCTTCTCACCCACAACGTGGTGAGCAAGGGGAGTGTTTCAGCCTCGTTTGTGCCACAGCTCTTTTAGCCCTGCCATTTGGCAGGTCCCAAGTTTTTGTCCTGCATCTTGGAAGAATAATGTATGTGGACAAGTGGAGGGTGAACAAGGTAAAAAGGAGCTTTATTGAGCAACAGAACAGCTCAGAGAAGACCGGCATTGGGTAGCTCCTCTCCGCAGGCAGGACGTTCTGATCAGTGTTCAGCTCTCAGCAGAGAGGAGACCCTGGAGTGGGTAGATCCTCTCTTCAGGCAGGTTGTCCCATTGTCTCTGTGAGTCTGGCTGTGTCCGGGGCTTTCATGGGCCTCATATGGAAGGAAGTGCCTGTTGATTGGTCCATGGGCAACCATGAGCGAGCCCAAAAAAAGCACCACAAATTCCCACTATGATCCACAGGACTGGCACCCTGGCCCCAGGCTTCAGGCACTCCCCAGCTTGAAAGCGGGGCTTCACTGGGGACCCGGTCTTTTCTGCCCTGGAGACTGTCTGCCTCCTGCCACTGTTCATGGCATCCAGGCTGTTTATGCTGAGGGGCACCTGCAGGCCAGTGCCAAGCTGCCCTCAGCCCCCACGTCTGCATCCCTCCCATGCTCTTCAGCACCCAAAGTCCAGAGTTAGCTCTGCATCAAGCGTGTGCACACCCAGCTAGGTTATGACAGCACCAAGGCGTGACCTTAAATTTTCTCAGTGACTGGAGCGGGAGCTGGGAGTGGGGAGAGGCCAGGCAGTAGGAGCAGGCACTTTGGAGCCTGTGTGGGCAGGGAGGGCTTTCCTGGGCCCCTGAGAGTGCAGAGATGCCTGGGTCAACAGCCCCAGCTTGGGCGGCTGCAGCTGCACCCTGGAGGGTGGGGCTCCTGCCTGCCTTCCCCACTGCAGCCAGCATCATGGCAGCAGCCACTCCAGATAGGCTGCTGCTGCCATCACTACAATAAAATTGAAATAAAACAAAGTTGGAGGATTTACAGTAACACATTTCAAGACCTGCTATAAAGGTATCAAGTAGTATGGTTTCACTTATAGACCAAATTAAATATTGCAGAGAGTCTAGAAATACACTATTCATCTCCACTAAAATTTGTCTGTGATCGTCACTCAATTCAGTAAAAATTAATTCTTCCCCGAATCACATTAATTGATTTATGGCAAGGCCACTATGGACAAAGGATCGTCTTTTCACTGAATAGTAGAGGAATGACTGACTATCTAAAGAAATGTACTTCAGGCCGGGCACAGTGGCTAAAGCCTGTAATCCCAGCACTTTGGAGGCCGAGGCGGGAGGATCACGAGGTCAGGAGATCGAGACCATCCTGGCTAACACGGTGAAACGCCGTCTCTACTAAAAATAAAAATAAAAAAATTAGCCGGGCGTGGTGGCGGGCGCCTGTAGTCCCAGCTACTCGGAGAGGTTGAGGCAGGAGAATGGCGTGAACCCGGGAGGCAGAGCTAGCAGTGAGCCGAGATTGTGCCACTGCACTCCAGCCGGGGCGACAGAGCAAGACTCCAACTCAAAAAAAAAAAAAAAAGAAATGTACTTCAAACCTGCTCTCATTTCAAATGCAATTATAAACTCAAATTGGGTCATACACTTAAACATAAAATAGCGAAAGCCGTAAAAATTCCAGAAAAAAAATTCTTCAACATATAGAAAGGAATGATTTTAGAAAGAACTTAAAAAGACACAAGCCATAAAAATGTTTGTATAAACAAATTTGATATAAACTTACACTACAATGCTTTTGTGCAGTAAGAACCAGCTATGAATATACACCACAATGATAAGGATAAATCTCAAAAGCATTATGCTGAACAAAGATGTCAGACACACATGCACACATGAATACTGCATTATTCTATTTATGTGAAATTCTAAGACAGGCAAGACTAATCTATAGTGACTGAAACCATATCCAGATTGCCTGGAGGGAGGGATGGGTGGGTGGATTTAGTGGAAAGGAGTACAAGGTAATTTTGTTGGTAATGGAAAATGGAAATATTTCATATATTGTATATTTCATATCTTGTATATTGATTTGCGTCATGGTTACATAAAGACATTTATAAAAATAATGAACTGAATATTTTGAGTGCCTTTTTCATATGTATATCATTCCAAAACAAAATAGATTTTGAAGTCAATGTACAATAGCTAAATAAAAAATAATGCTCAAGGCCTCTAGTGGAAAAATTAAATAAGAATTTCTGGTGGTAAAGGCTGAGCATGGCCGTTTCCTACCAAGCTCCTAGGCCAATTCTAACCTCAAAGTTCCAATTTAGTGGAAATTAAGGTCTCATTCTTGTGGACTTGTAGTGTTCTACTTAAGTTTTGCTTGCTAATAAGGGTTTTAATTGTTACTTTTATTTTGTTTTGTTTGTGTGCTCATAGACTTATCAAAGATAAAACTACCTCAATTCTTAAAATCTTTTGATTATGGGTCAGGCGTGGTGGCTCATGCCTGTAATCCCAGCACTTTGGGAAGCCGAGGCAGGTGGATCACGAGGTCAGGAGATCGAGACCATCCTGGCTGACACCGTGAAAACCCGTCTCTACTAAAAAAATACAAAAAACTAGCCGGGCGTGGTGGTGGGCGCCTGTAGTCCCAGCTATGCGGGAGGCTGAGGCAGGAAAATGGCATGAACCCGGGAGGCGGAGCTTGCAGTGAGCAGAGATGTGCCACTGCACTCCAGCCTGGGAGACAGAGCCAGACTCCGTCTCAAAAAAAAAAAAAAAAAAAAAAAGACTCTGTTGATTATGATCTTGGACATCTCAAACATCTCCTTTAACTCTCAATAAAGAAAAAATTTGATACACTTTCATATTAAGGGAATTCTTCTTTTGCCTTTCCTAAATATAACTCCAAAACAATGAAATTAAACCATTTTATAAGAGAGTTGGTTCTTTTAACTTATTAAGGACTATGTTTTACTAAAAAAAATTTTCCAGTAATAAAAGGTGCTTCACATTTTGCTAGTGTACATACTCTAAGACACAGTCTTAAAAGAAAAAAATAAGTGTCCCAGTGAGAACATGTTTTTGAACCCTATGTTGAGTAAAAATAATCAATAAAGTCAAGATGTTGGAGACATATTGAAGCAAGAATAGACCAACCTGGCTATGGAGAAATGTCTTCCAGAAGACTGGAATATTTTAAACTGCTGATGTCTTTCACCTCCCTCCTACCTCTCTGCACTCTGTGTTACAGTTAAGAACATGGACTTTGGAGCCTATCATTCAGGATTTTAATTTTGTCTACATTACTTATGATTTAGGTGGCCTAGTGCAAATAAATTAATATCTCATGACTTCATCGGTAATTTTGGATTAAAATAGTTAGAATGTGAAGATTAATTGAATTAATGTGTGTAAAATGTAACTTTAATTTTTTAATTTTTAATTTTTGTGGGGACATAGTAAGTGTATATCTTTATGGGGTACATGAGATGTTTTGATACAATGTAAAATACATTTTAAATTCCATTAATATTGTTATCTTAAAATATATACCTTGTTAATGATCATATAGGATAGAGACACCAACTTTTATATCATCTATTTCCACATATGGTAAGATAAAGCAAGAATTTCAGCTATTCAGAAAAGATGATAGTATATGGTCATTTAATATTAACCCAAATAAATAGAAAGAAACTATTTATTTAGATTTCCTAAAATTTATTATTACAAGTTTGCAATAATGAGAGAATAAATTATGTTTTCAATTAAGAAGTTTATGAAACTTGCGAGGGAAAACATTTGCTTTAAAATCCATTTTGTTTTGGTATAAAAACATAAGAAAAAATGCACCATTTTAAAATATTCAGTTTATTATTTTTGCAAATGGCTTTATCTGTGTAACCATGAAGCAAATCAATGTGCAATACAATATATGAACTATACAATATATAAAATACTTCCATTTTCCATTACCAACAAAATTAGCTTGTGCTTCTTTGCACTAAATTCACCCACCCAGCCCTCCCTCCAGGCAGTCTGTATCTGCTTTCAGTTTGACTATAGATCAGTCTTGCCTGTCCTAGAATTTCACATTTCTTTATTGAGGTAATAGGGGGAAGTTTGGCAAAAATGTGACACCCAAGGTGCCATTGCCTCCTCTGCCCATGGTGGGATCTCTAATAGATCATGAAATTGTCCTACTGTGTCTGAAGGGAGCCCAAGAATCCTTCTTATTATAAAGCTTTTGTATGTCCATTCTGCTGAAGTTGGCATTTTTAATAAAGATTGCGGCAAACAGATACAGATGATCCTTATAGCTATGATCATTATGAATATTCTTGCTTCTGTAGACATAAATTTAAAAACAATATCTAATGATATTTAAACTGAAAAATATAATTAAGACAACAAAAATAAAAATTAACATAGTCAGTGTGTGTGGGAAGGAGAGGGGCACCCGGGAGGGAACTGTGTACTTTCTACACAATTTTGCCATGAACATAAAACTGCTCTCAGAAAGTAGTCTATTAATTAAATAAATAATATAGTTAAGATATAAATTATACTTACAGGCAAATATAAATTAGATGATTCTGTGTCAAACTAAATTATAACTAATTGAAAAGAATAACTTAAAGGGAAAATGGCAATGGATTATGGAAATGCCATATGAAAAGAAAAAATAAAATGACAAACAGATTAAAGCACTAAGAAATTGAAAAAAGACGTAATCTCAATGAGGTAGGTATGGAAACGTAGGACAGAATTTCAGGCCTTCAAAACTTTTCTCACAATCACTCCCTTTCTGAGCTAAAAGAGATGGCAGGACATGTAGATTCTACGGTAAACATTCCATCTAAAACTTGAGGTCCCAGGCAGATTTTTCTCTGTTAAAAAATAAACTGAGCCACACTAAAAATTTGAAGAGTTAATTTGAGCAAAAATAGTCATGATTTGGACAGCTCTAAACCAGAAGTTGTTTAGAAGCTTCCCTTAGGAAATATAAGATATTGGCTTTTGTGGGACTAACAGAGAAGACAGACAAATATTTGATCACTGACAGTTGCACAGTTATACAGATTTGTTTGGTCTATCCTTTGGAAAATATTTAGTAATCTAATTATAAGTTTGTTGGTTTCTTCTGATTGGTTGAGCATGTTATGTTTTTAAGTTAAATTATATAGGCATTTACAATAAATAGCTTCAGTTATTTCACTTATGTTTGCAAATGAAGCAAGTTTGGGGTCCCTTATGAGGCCTAACTGGCTTTGTCTGCTAAAGGATTCTTTACAGAGGGTTTTCATTTTCATTAAATGTAACATCTCCATTTGGAAAACTAAGAGCTAAGAGCAAAAAAGCTTGGCTTTAAGATACTTATGTTCAAACTTGGCTCCTGGAAGCCTCAGACATCTAGCTAGTGTTTGAATGGAGAAGGCAAGAAAGACATCACTCAGGAGTCCTTGGAACTCATCTTTCTGTGCCCATGTCTGGTCACTCTGCAGCAGCAAAGTATAGACATTAATTATATCTATTATATAAACTCGCGGGCTGGGTATGTTATCCAATCAGATTTATGTGCTACTTTATAAAAAGTAAGTAAACAAAAAGGTATTTTAATTTACCCTTTTATTTTCCTTACAAAAATATTGTGAACATTTATCTTGACTCAAATGAGCAGTTGTTTGATTTTGTTTTATCCTTAAATACAGTAAAAATAAAAATGTTCTGGCATTCTTTAAAACTACTCTCACAAACAAAAATGTTGAATTTATAACTCATTCTGCCTCTTTTACATGCATGTGATTATTTTGTCCAAAATAAGATAATCCAAATGAAAAGTAGATTTTATTACTTTGGGTAAATTTGCCAACTGATTTCAAAAAGAAAAATATAATGGGTTAGGTGGATTTATGGGGCAAATAACCCACTCTTGGCAATAGGATGCTAAGAAAAAGCTGGTTTAAAAGTTAAGAAGCTCATAATGCCAGCTCAGAATTTATAGCTAACAGTTTTATAGGCCAAAGCCACTATGCAGGCATTCTTATCCTGCAGTGCAAATAGGATTACCCTTCCAAGCATTATCCTAATGTGGAATTAAACTGTCAAGTTGGCTTGCTTGTTGCATAGACTTGCACATAAGATGAATGTAACTCTGGGTAAAGTTCAATATTGTTCCATCTGTTAAGCACCTTTTTCTTACAGAGACACAAAAGCTGGAAATACACACACATACAACATTTCTGCTAAAATATTGAGTCATTGTGGGTTGATTTATTGAGAAATATGACAACAGCAACCCTGATCAATCTTTATTATAAATTCAAATTTTTCTGCTTCTTAAAAATCTAATAAAATCGTGTAACTTGGACTATTTGTGTTTAAGTAAAATTTAAGGAAACATCATCATCAAAAAAGCCAAATGTAATTACATAAAGTTGGGAAATGGGTATAAGAATTTGCCATCAATGTCTGTCTCTGCTAGCAAAAAACTTATTTCGTTAGCTAAACTTCTTTTCTTTCTTCATCAAAAATTATTTGGATCCTTCTAACTATTTAGTGTTCTGTTCATGACATATCTTTATTAGTAGATTCACTATATTTTAACCATGATGATTATGGAAATTTGCAAGGATGTTTAGGAAATTATTAATTGCTGAAGTGGCAGTTGCATGCTGATTTGCTAGTCAGAATCATACTACATATAGAAAAAAGTAACTAAAGAGGTACCCAGTTTCATATAAGAGGAGAAACTTAGAAAAGGCAACATTTTAATGTAGTAACGTCCTTTCTTCGTTCATTTTGTGCTACTATAAGAGAATACTTGAGACTGAGTAATTTATAAATAAAATGTATTTCTCACAGTTCGGGGGGCTGAGAAGTCCAAGATCAGTGTGCTGGAAGGTTTGGTGTCTGGTGAGGGCCCAGTCTCAGCTTCCAAAATGACACCATGAATGCTGCATCCTCAATGCGGGAAGGAACTCTTTGTCCTCACATGGCAGAAAAGAGGAAGAGATGGCACCCACTTCTGCAAGTCCTTTTTATAGCAGCATTGATCCATTCATGAGTGCAGACCTCTCATGACCTAAACATCTCCCAGGAGGCCCAAACTCCCAGCACTGTTGCATTTGGGATTAAGCTTCTAAAGCAAATTTTTGGAGGAAGTCATTCAAACCATAGTGATCTCAAATTTATAATTGCTTCATTGGGCTGAAATTTAATCTAAAGATTTTTTTCATAAATACTTAATGAACCCTTTTTCAAATTGGTGTTTGATCTCTTTCTTTCTTTCTAAAGCAAACATTTTTACCATCATATCACATATAGGAAAATAATTTAGCCCTAATCCAATATAAGTATTCTTCATAAATGTCCTTAAATTACTTCTAATGAGGCATGAGCTTAGCTCAATATTTATAGCTGGCTTTTATTTCACAAGAAAACCATATGCTGTTGATGATTCAATTATCTTTTGTTAAGTATTTTGCTAAGTAAAATGGAAAAGATGGTTTTCTTCCTTTCCCCCATTTTTGTTATTTATAGAAGTAATATTACGGAGTAATAGAAAAGTATGAAATTCATACTTTCAAAATTTGTCTATCCATATCTAGGTAAAACACATTAAAGTCATAATACAGATCTAGAGAACACATTCTAAGGAGAATCTTCTTGTAACTAAATTCTTAAATTTTAGGAAAAGATTTACGAGCCAGTCAATATAACTAATGTTACCATGTACATAAGAATTTTGTTAGCATTGCAAAAAAGTGATATTGAGTACATAAATTGAAGAAAAAATGAGATTAATTTTATATATTTCATTGTATTGTAATTTTATTATAAGTCATACAATATACTAAATATGTGTATATTAATAAAATCACTTATTGGAGGCACCAACACGAAACTGTTAAGTGGCTAATTCTGGAAAGAGATAGTACCTTGATAACAGGAGATAAAGAGTGTGTGTATATGTGAGTTTGTGTGTAGGTGTGTGTGTTTATGTGTGTGTGTGTGTGTGTATGTCTGTGTGTCTGTGGGGGGGATAATCATGGTGTGTTGTATTATATATGCAGTGTAATTCTATTTTATAAAACAATAATACATAAAATGTTAATTTTTTAATTATCAAGACTGTTGTCATGAAAAATCCACCAGACCAGGTTCATTCTGCCCTGTATTTCAGTGATTGCCATAAGCTAGTGATGAAATGGGAGAAGTTCCTTTACCCCATCACAGGGCATATGACAGGGGTGTGGCTCAATTCTTCTGTGCCCTGCTGCTCAAACCCCTAGGGGGAGCATGCAGACAGGCAGATCGTGGGGAGCATTTTTGGCTCCAGCCCCACAGCAGCATCTAGGGTTGAGTGTTTACAGCTCTTGAAGATCCGGTGGGCATGTGTTACAGTGTGCTCCTTCAGCTTTGCTGTCTGTAGGCGGCTTGTGTTAATCAGCACAATTAGACCCTCTGCCATATCACAAGGACAGAGGGCTTTCTGTATCCTGGGTTCTTGCCCTGGTATACAGAAAAATCACATCACACATGGGCGTGGAGAATGGGTGCAAAGTTTTACTGAGAGTTGGAGGTAGCTCTCAGAGAGGTGGATGGGGAGCCAGAAGGGGGATGAAGTGGGAAGGTGGTCTTCTCCTGGAGTTGGGCAGCCTGGTGGCCTCTCTTCTGACTGCCCCCAACCAAATTTCACATTGTCCCACCCCAATGGCCTGCTAGTATCTGCTGGTGTCTGTTGGTGTGCTCTTCGGCTTCTCTTGACATCCAGCTGCTTGTGGCTGTGCCTGCTAGGGTCTCAGGTTTTTATGGGCATAGGATGGGGGGCATTGTGGGCCAGAATGGTCTTAGAAAATGCAACATTTGGGCGCAGAAACAGGAGTGCCTGTTCTCACTTAGGTTCATGGGCACAAGCCTGAGGGTGGAACCCTTGTCAGAGATCCCACCCTTTTCTACCCAGCACTTCCTTGGCCTCTCCCTGTATCAGTATCACTTTAGCTGTTAAACAGAAATATCCATTTTCCTCCATTTTTTCAGCACTTCTTCTAAGTTACAATGTTCATTTGCATACATTGGAATTTTCCAGAAAAATTTTACAACACCTGTGCTATTATTTGGCATTCACATTTGTTATAACTTGAAAATATTCTTTACATTATGGCAATACAATCTAAGAATTAATTAAATAATAGGACCAGTGCATGCATGTTCTGATAAGTGCTGCCTGGCAACAAAAACTTTGGAACTCAATTAGTCATGTTAAATTTCTAGTAAATTTATTTAAGTCCCTTGTAGAATCTGGATATTAGCCCTTTGTCAGATGGGTAGATTGCAAAAATTTTCTCCCATTCTGTAGGTTTGCTCTTCACTCTGATGATAGTTTCTCTTGCTGTGCAGCTCTTTATTTTAATTAAATCCCATTTGTCAATTTTAGCTTTTCTTTCAATTACTTTTAGCATTTTTGCCGTGAAATTGTTGCCCATGCCTATGTCCTGAGTGGTATTGCCTAGGTTTTCTTCTAGGGTTTTTATGGTTTTGGGTTTTACATTTAAGTCTTTAATCCATCTTGAGTTTATTTTTGTATAAAGTGTAAGGAAGGGATTGATATTGTTTGGCTGTGCCCTTCCCCAAATTTCAACTTAAATCATATCTCCCATAATTCCCATGTGTTGTGGAAGGGACCCAGTGGAGGTAATTGAAACATATGGTCTGGTCTTTCCCATATTAGTCTCATGATAGTGAATAAGTATCATGAGATCTGTTGATTTTATCAGGGGTTTCCACTTTTGCTTCATCCTCATTCTCTCTTGACACCACCATGTAAGAAGTGCCTTTCACTCTCCACCATGATTGCGAGAACTTCCCCAGCCACGTGGCACTGTAAATCCAATTAAACTTCTTTTTCTTCCCAGTCTCAGGTATGTCTTTAACAGCAGTGTGAAGACGGATTAATACAGTAAATTAGTACCAATAGAGTGAGGCATTGCTGAAAAGATACCCGAAAATGTGGAAGCAACTTTGGAACTGGGTAACAGGCAGAGGGAGGAACAGTTTGGAGACCTCAGAAGAAGACAGGAAAATGTGGGAAAGTTTGGAACTTACTAGAGACTTGAATGGCTTTCACCAAAAGCCTGGTAGTGATATGGGCAATAAGGAATCCTTTTACACTGTTGTTGGGAATGTAAATTTGTTCAACCATTGTGGAAGACAGTGTTCAAGCATCTAGAAGCGGAAATACCATTTGAATCAGCAATCCCATTACTGGGTATATACCCAAAAGAATATAAATTATTCTACTGTAAAGACACATGTACACGCATGTTTATTGCAGCACTGTTTACAATAGCTAAGACATGGAACCAACCCAAATGTCCATCAATACTAGACTGGATAAAGAAAATGTAGTACATATACACCATGGAATACTATGCTGCCATAAAAAGAAATGAGATCGTGTCCTTTCCAGGGACATGGATGAAGCTGGAAACCATCATCCTCAGCAAACTAATACAGGAACAGAAAACCAAACACTGCATGCTCTCACTCATAAGTGGGAGTTGAACAATTAGAACACATGGACACAGGGAGGGGAACAACACACATTGGGGCCTGTCAGGTGATAGGGGTGAGGGGAGGGAAAAATAGCTAATGTATCCAGGGCTTAAAGCCTAGATTATGGGTTAATAGGTATATAGCAAACCACCATGGCACACGTGTCCCTATGTAACAAACCTGCGTGTTCTGCACTGTATCCCAGAACTTAAAGTAAAATAAAAAAAATTTACAAAGAAGGTCAAGTTTTAAATGTAGAAATTTTATTTTCGCTGAAATAAAAAGTGTAATTAGAGAAAAAATATATCATAGGAGATGTATGTGCTGTGATTGGAAATTCCTATTTTCTGAGACCACATTTCTCCATTGGCTTTTCTATAATAGAAATTATTTTGGAATTACTTTAGGCTTGAACTATGCAAACCTGTAATTATATAATATCCTCAGAAGTGACTTTCTTAAAATATAATACAGCTCTCACATATCTCAGTGTTGTCTGAATCTTTTACAGTGAGAAAAGTACATATTTTATTTTGCAAATAGCCACAAAAAGGAAAGCAATATATGATTGTTATAGAAGTTTTGAAAATAAAGATATTTTTGGAATGCCCTCAGTAACACTACCTACCTACGAAAGATGATCATTGTTATTAGTTTAGGAAGTTTCCTTTTAATATATACATATTTATGTGCATGTGTGTCTATATATGTATCTATATCTAGATATATATAGATATAAACCCTAGGTAAATATGTACATATTTTCTCCTATCAATATATTGTGAAAAGATATACATGAGAATAAAATATTTTGGAAAACACAATTTGGATAGCTACATAACATGTAATCATTTCTATATTTTCTTAATATAAATAACATTGTAACTAATATTGTGGAGGATTCCTGGAGTTTCTGATAATTTCTTTAGGACAGTTTCCCTGAACTAAAATTACAGGATATTAACTCATTTAAAGGTTAATCTTTGCCAGGTTGCTTGACTGAGGTTGGTGTACCAATCTACCACAAAATGGAAATGTCTTTTATAAGAGCAACTATTTTCCATTTCTCTAAGCCTCACATCTGCATTGGGCCACTCTCTCAGGCATTAATACCTTGAATAATTCTTCATAGTTCCTTCCTCAAGCATTTCTCTCTCCATGAGTATATTTTTCTGTAATTTTTGGGATGTGGCTATTTCTGGTTTCCTCTACTCTAGAGAGCCTGTCTCTTAGCCAGACAAGAGGAAACAGAAGAATGACTGCTTTCTTGACATTAACCTGTGCCATCCTCACTTGGGGCACTGTTGGCATTAGGGTATAGCTATATTTTCCTTGTGTAGAATTTGCCAGACCATTTCAGAAAGTTTAGTTTTTCTCCACATCACAATTCCTCTGCATCTGCTCAAATAATTGCTGCTATGATCTGCGCGTTTGTGTCTCCCCAAAATTCATATGCTGAAATCCTAACCCACAAAGTGATGGTAGTAGGAGGTGGGGCATTTGGGAGGTGATTAGGTCATAAGGGTTGAGCCCTTATGAATAGGAGAAGTACTCTATAAAAGTGACTCTAGGCCAGGTGCAGTGGCTCACGCCTGTAATGCCAGCACTTTGGGAGGCCAAGGCGGGTGGATCACAAGGTCAAGAGATAGAGACCATCCTGGCCAACATGGTGAAACCCCGTCTCTACTAAAAATACAAAAATTAGCTGAACGTGGTGATGCATGCCTGTAGTCCCAGCTACTTGGGAGGCTGAGGCAGGAGAATCGCTTGAACCCGGGAGGCGGAGGTTGTAGTGAGCCGAGATTGCACCACTGCACTCCAGCCTGGAGAAAGAATGAGACTCCATCTCAAAAAAAAAAAAAAAAAAAAAAAAAAAAAAAAGTGACTCCAGAGAGTCACTTTTCTTCTCTCACCACAGGAAGACACAGTGAGAAGGTACCATCTGTGAATCAAGCTGATCTTCAACAGTCACCACATCAGCCAGTACCTTAATCTTGGACTTCTCAGTCTCAAGAACTGTGAGCAATTTCTGTTACTTATAAGACACCCAGCCTAATGTTTGTTTGTTATAAAAGCCCCAATAGACTAACATAATTCCCAATAGAACCTCCACTGGCACTGTAACCAAAAGTACCTTGACACATTTCTGTATGGTCATTGGGGGCTGGCACTGTCTGAAAAATAAAAACAAGAGTGAAGTTTCTGTTTTCTTGATGACATACAGTTATTTAGGGCTGCTGAATTCCATGTTTGTTTGTTTGTTTGTTTTGCTTTTTATATCATCTTATCTTGGTTCTACTCCAATACACTGGTTGAATTTTACCTTAGTTGGGCCCCATTAATAAAAATTTGATAAGATAAAAATAACATACCACTGATGCTTTTAATTAATATTCCTTTTATTAATAGAAGGAGCTTAAATATATTGTAACATATTAATTCTGTAAATACTTTGATCATACTTTTGCCTGTTTTTTACTACTTGATATACTGTATTTGATGACTCACTGTATATTAAGGATTACCTACAATTTGTTCCATGAAACCAAAATAGTGATGCTTTCAAAACACATTGCATTTTATTACCACTCAGCTTCACGTCTTCAATGGTTTTTCTTCATGTTTAAAATAAAATCTGAAAAACATGACCTGTAGGTCCCCACCCTATCGCTCTATTCTAATCTTTCGTTACCTCATAATTGCCCCAGCTTACCAATTCTGCTATTCACATTGGGTTTCTTTCAGTCATTGAAATATGCCAATACATATACAGATTTCTTTTCTTACCCTGTCCACACTCACGGAAGTTACGTTCTTATGCTTGTCTTTTGGGCTGAGTGATTATAATCCACACAACCTCCCATTCATATACTGAAGCCCTGCACCCCAATGTGTCTGTATTTTAAGACAGGGACTTTACAGAGGCAACTAAGGTTAAATGAAGTCATAGGAGTAGAGTGTTGATCTGACAGGGTTAATGTCCTTAAAAGAAGAGACACAGAGAGCTCATCCACCCTGTATGAGCACGAAGGAAAGATCTTGTGAAGACACGATGGGAAGGTGCTCATCTGCAAGCCAGGAAGAGAGCCCTCACCAGAAATCAAATTGCTGAAAGCATGATCTTGGAATTCTAAATTTCAGAACTGTGGGAAAAAAATTCTGCTTTTTAAGACACCCAGTCTGTTGTGTTCTGTTTTGGTAACCCCAGCTGACTAATAAAGACTTTGACTTAATACAGGATCTCCTTGTGAGAGAACCAATGATTACCTTTGAAAGTACAACTTCCACCGTTTAACATACACACACACATACATACCCCACAACATTGCCTATTACTCTGTTTCTTTCAGAGCACTAATCCCTTTTAAGACTTGGATTTTTTGTTTGTTTGTTTGTTTTTTTGAGACGGAGTCTCACTCTGTCACCCAGGCTGGAGTGCAGTGGCGCGATCTCGGCTCACTGCAAGCTCCACCTCCCGGGTTCACGCCATTCTCCTGCCTCAGCCTCTCCGAGTAGCTGGGACTACAGGCGCCCGCCACCATGCCCGGCTAATTTTTTGTATTTTTAGTAGAAACGGGGTTTCACCATGTTAGCCAGGATGGTCTCGATTTCCTGACCTCGCGATCCGCCCGCCTCGGCCTCCCAAAGTGCTGGGATTACAAGAGTGAGACACCGCGCCTGGCCAAGACTTGGATTTTTAAAAACATTTTTAGTTTTTAAAATATCTTGTATTATTTTGTGCCTTTTTTTTTTTTTTTTTTTTTTGAGAGAGAGGATCTTATTCTGTTACCCAGACTGGAGTTTAGTGGTATGATCTTAGCTCACTGCAATCTCTGCCTCCCAGGTTCAACCAATCCTCCCACCTCAGCCTCCTGAGTAGCTGGAGGTACATGCCACCACACCTAAGTAATTTTCGTATTTTTTGTAGAGATGGGGTTTTGCCACGTTGCTCAGGCTGGTCTCAAACTCCTGAGCTCAAGTGATCCACCTGCCTCAGCATCCAAAAGTGCTAGAATTACAGGCATGAGCCACCATGCCTGGCCTTTCCTTTGTTTCTTAATATAGACTTCCAATTCTACATGCAGAAATTATTCTTGGTTCATTCATGGTTCTTTATACCCAGAGTTAGGATACTGCTAGTGATACAGTTTGGCTCTGCGTCCCCACCCAAATCTCATGTTGAATTGTAATCCCCAATGTTGGGCGAGGTACCTGGTCGGAGGTGATTGGATCATGGGGTCGGAATTCCCCCTTGCTCTTCTCGTGATAGTAAGTGAGTTTCACGAGATCTCGTTGTCTGAAAATGTGTAGCACTTCCCCTTCTCTGTCTTCCTCTGGCTCCCACCATGTAAGATGTGCTTGCTTCCCCTTCTCCTTCTGCCTTGATTGTAAGTTTCCTGAGGCCTCCCAGAAGCAGAAGCCTGTATAGCTGCAGAACCATTAGCCAATTAAATCCCTTTCTTTATAAATTATGCAGTCTCTGGTATGTCTTTATAGCATTATGAGAATGGATTAATACAGCTGTGTACATGGAGCCATTTGGTAAATATATCCCACTGAATTATATAGCTAATATTTATTACTTACTATGTACCAGGTATTGTCAAACACTTTACAAGCTTTCTTATATTTATTTTTCCAAGAACTGTGTTGTGTAGGCATTGGTTTTTTAGAGATAGGAAAATTATGTATCTAGCCCAGGAATAAAAGTGAGTGTCAAAGAAGCTGAGATTCAAAAATGGAGTCTATCTCCACATCACTCACTTTCAACCATGACAGCATGTTATATTTTTTCCCAGTAATGAGTGAATTATTTGAATACATGAATATCATCTTGTTGACTGTCACATTAGCTGGAAATGTTTTCCCACATTTTCCCCACATTTGCATTTTAATTAGTTTATTATAGCCCTTTTAATGAGTTTTATTTTATAAAAGTAGTACATGTACTCAGTTTAAAAATTCAAGTAGAACTGAAAAGATCAGTAATGAAAAATGTGGTCTTCTGCTATATTTCCCTAGCACCTCTCACTTGATTTCTTTGCCTTTTAAGTAGTCTTCTTATATTTACCTGGGTATATATAAAATTTATATCCATATCACTATTTCAAGATATATAAATCATAAAATGTGTATCATTTTCTAGTATGGAGGATGAGATTTAGAACTCTAATACCCATAGCTCCTTTCACTGGTCTTTCCTTACTCTCACAATAAGCTCTTATCACTGTATTTGGGTAAGTTAATACTTAGTATGGGTGGCAGTTATAACACTACTTTTTAATATTCTGGGAGACTATCTGGAGATTTGGGCCGGATGCCTGAAAATCATCAAGTAGAGTTCCATTTAGTTAACCTTATTTAAATCTAGCGCTCTTTTCCATAGCTGTTCTTGCTTCCCCAGAATCCATCATCCCTCCTTAGAGCAAGTCATCAGGCTCCTGCCCAAATAGCAACAGATATTGCTTTTTTGTTTTGTTTTGGCTCATGTGTAGATAGGAGAGGGAAAGGATATTCTGGAATCTAAGTTCTCTTTTTGACTTTCAATTATTCTTCCACATATGTTCAGTCTCACCTACATTCTGCCTATAACACTTGTCTATTTGTCCTACAGCTTCCAAATTGTCTTATCAGCTTTCACCTGCTATATGACCTTCTCTCTTCTCTTATTACCATATTGGATAACTACTACTGTATGACAGAGGTGTCCAAATTATAGCATGTTAAGACAGCAAACAGTTCTGTGGGTAAAAAATTCAAAAGTAGCTTGGCTAGGTAGTTTTGGCTCGGAGTCTCACATGAGGTTATGGTCTGGATGTCAGCGAGTGCTGGTTGTCATCTTGACTGGGGCTGGAGAATCTGATGACAAAATGGCTCACTTGCATGTCTACCTGTATACCACAGAGGAAGTATTGTGACTCTCAAATGAAATAATGTACAAAAACATTTATTCTCTTTCCATATTCCCTCCTCAGCTGATATGAGAACAAACAGAACACTACTGCCCAGACAGCACTGCAGGGGATGGGGGTGAGTGTAGGAGAGAGGGGTCAATGCTAGCCTCACTAGTGGTGAAGCCGGAAAAGCCACTGGCATAATGAGTCTAGCTGGGCTAGTGGACTAACTTAAGAGTTCCCAACCCTGGCTGCATATTAGAATCAGCTGGAGAGCTTTTCGAAAATATTGATTCCCAGGCTGCACCTACAGTGATTCAGACTTAATTGGTCTTGGTGAGGCCTAGGTAACCGTGTTTCAAAAGTTCCCAAATAATTTTAATATGCAGTTGTGGCCAAAAATCAAGGAACTGAATGAATCAGGTTTTTTGTAATGCTAGTCTTTAAAGGAAACACAGGCTAGAGAGCACCTGCCTCTTGCTTACCCATTTTGGCTTTAGGTTTTATAGTTTAGGACAATCAACATTAATGATGAAATATTATTATATCAAATATCTAGCCATATCTATACATTAGATAGTATTGGGAATTTTTTATCTGTTTTCTAAAACTTACAAGTTAGTTTTTACTGCAAGCAGATATCTTGATCTAACACATCATATCACTTTTAGATCACAAAGTTTCCTTGCCAGTGGGGTAAAGATTATGTAAATCAAAATGTAGTCTAGGCTAGGCATCGTGGCTCACACCTGTAATCCCAGCACGTTGGGAGACCGAGGCGGGCAGATCACCTGAGGTCAGGAGTTTGACACTAGCCTGGCCAAATGGTGAAACCTCGTCTCTACTAAAAATACAAAAATTAGCTGGGCATAGTGGTGGGCACCTGTAATCTCAGGTACTCGGGAGGCTGAGGCAGGAGAACTGCTTGAGCCCAGGAGGCGGAGGTTGCAGTGAGCTGAGATGGTGACACTGCACTCCAGACTGGGCAACAGAGTAAGACTCCATCTCAAAAAAGAAAAATGTAGACTTATACAGGCTGAGAAATTAGACACATTTTTCCCCACACAGACTTCAATAAACTCCAGTCACAAGTAAGTGTTGCTTCTGACTGTTTTTGTGTTATTGACTATTGACACATATATGCGTGTGTGTGTGTTTAGGTATATATTCACTAAAATGTGATGATTTGCATTTGTTTATTAAAAAAATAGCTTAGAAAAATTTCGTTTCTTTCTAGTACCCAGTGCTTCAGTATCCAATAAATATTTTTATCAAGAAGCTTACGAATAAGGGTATAGCTAGAAAGTTCCAGAGTACCTTTTTTGAAGAAGGGGGTCTTCTAGTCTAGATTTACATTAACACAGTAACTACATGTGTGATTTCAAAGTTATTTGATTTATAACAATTTATTTGTTCATATTGGAAAATGCAAGCATTTGCCAACAATATATATGCTTTACAACATTTTTAATACTATTGGTAAAACAACATAGAAATTATGGTATTGAAATTACTCTGTTTAGACTTTATAATCAACAGCATAAATGGGTTCTTTGGATGGGAATATAAAATGATAAAATGTTGCTATTGAGAAAACGCTAAGAATTCTCATGATACTCAGAAGAACTAAAAAGGCAAAAGATTTATAAGATCTGAAGAGAAACCAGAGCATACTCAACAGAATTAAGATAACTATTCTTAGTCATTATTCTAGCTCAAATTGTATGTCATTTTTACCTTTTGCTAGTATTAGATCTATTTGTTTACTACAACTTTCCCTTGTTAGATGACTGAACTGAAACACCAACCACATAGACTTGATATGTCTAGAGAGAAGAGAAAATGAAAATGAAACTTAGTTATCATTATATGGCTAACTTAGGTGGTGTTTAGTTAAGACAAAAGAAAATCACGACTAGATACAAATGAATATTGCACCAGGAAAAAGAAATTCTGGCAAAATCGCTTTGACTTGACAATTTTGTGATGAGAAAATCACATACATTAACATGTAATAATGTATATGATAATATTTATTTATTGTCACCTTATTCAAATACTGTTCTAAGTATTTAATGCTGATGACAACACTTTGATTCATGAATCATTACCTCCATTTTATAAAGGAAAAAAAAAAACCCTGATGGACAGATAAACTACCCAGAGTCAAACAGATACTTTCCAAGTGGAGTCAGGATTTGAAACCAGACAATTTGACTCCTCAGGCTAATAAATATTTGATTTCATATAAATCAATGCTTCTCAACCTCAGTACTATTGACATATTGGACTGGGTAATTCTTTGTTGTGGGGAACTATCCTGTACACTGTGGGATATTTAACAGTGTCCTTAGACTGTACCCACTAGATGCTAGCAGCTCCCCAAACCCCTCATTGTGCTAACCTAACATGCTTCATGTATTGCCAATGTTCCTTGGAAGCAAAAAGCGCCCCCAAATGAGCAATGATAATATAGACCTATCTGTTCTACATTTACAGTCATTTTATCATAATTTAAAATAAGATGCCATATCAATGGGCTTGATCAGAGAATATAAAAATGGATGCAATTAATGAAGATTCCTGTTCATCAGATATATCACATTCTTTTTTTTTGTGATGAAGTCTCACTCTGTCACCCAGGCTGGAGTGCAGTGGTATGATCTTGGCACACTGCAACCTCTGCCTCCTGGGTTCAAGCAATTTTCCTGCCTCAGCCTCTCAAGTAGCTGGCATTATAGGCGCCCGCCACTACACCCAGCTAATTTTTAGTAGATACGAGGTTTCACCATGTTGGCCAGGCTGATTTCGAACTCCTGACCTCATGATTCACCCAACTCAGCCTCTCAAAGTGCTGGGATTACGGTGTAAGCCACCGCACTTGTCCTTTTTTTTTTTTTTTTTTTAATACTTAAGTTCTGGGATACATGCATGCAGGTTTGTTACATAGGTATACATGTGCCATGGTGGTTTGTGGCACCCATCAACCTGTCATCTACATTAGGTATTTCTCCTAATATTATCTCTTCCCTTGCCCCCACCCCCCAACATGTCCCAGTGTGTGATGTTCCCCCCCGCCGTGCCCATATGTTCTCATTGTTCGACTCCCATTTATGAATGAGAGCATGTGGTCTTTGGCCTTCTGTTTCTGTGTTAGTTTGCTGAGAAAGATCCCATTATCCATTTCCCTGGGAAGGACATGAACCATTCTTTTTTATGGCTGCATAGTATTCCATGGTGTATATGTGCCACATTTTCTTTATCCAGTCTATCATTGATGGGAATTTGAGTTGGTTCCAAGTCTTTGCCATTGTGAATAGTGCTGCAATAAACATACGTGTGCATGTCTCTTTATAGTAGAATGATTTATAATCCCGTGGGTGCATACCCAGTAATGGGGATTGCTGGGTCAAATGGTATTTCTAGTTCTAGATCCATGAGGAATCATCACACTGTCTTTTACAATGGTTGAACTAATTGACACTCCCAAAACAGTGTAAAAGCATTCCTATTTCTCCAGATCTTCTCCAAAATCTGTTGTTTCCTAACTTTTTAATGATCATCATTCTAACTGGCATGAGATGGTATCTCATTGTGGTTTTGATTTGCATTTCTCTAATGACCAGTGATGATGAGCCATTTTTCGTATGTTTCTTGGCCACATAAATGTCTTCTTTTGAGAAGTGTGTGTTCATATCCTTTGCCCACTTTTTGGTGGTGTTTTTTTTTTCTTGTAAATTTGTTTAAGTTCCTTGTAGATTCTGGATATTAGCCCTTCATCAGATGGATAGATTGCAAAGATGTTCTCCTATTCTGTAGGTGCCTGTTCACTCTGATGATAGTTTATTTTGCTGTGCAGAAGCTCTTTAGTTTAATTAGATCTCATTTTTCAATTTTGGCTTCAAGTTGCCATTGCTTTTGGTGCTTTAGTCATTAAGCCTTTGCCCACACTTATGTCGTGAATGGTATTGCCTGTTTTCTTCTAGAATTTTTATGGTTTTTGGTCTTACATTTAAATCTTTAATCCATCTTGAGTTTATTTTTGTATAAGGTGGAAGGAAGAGGTCCAGTTTCAGTTTTCTGCATATGGCTAGCCAGTTTTCCCAACACCACTTATTAAATAGGGAACCCTTTCCCCACTGCTTGTTTTTGTCAGGTTTCTTGAAGATCAGATGGTTGTAGATCTGTGGTGTTATTTCTGAGGCCTCTGCTCTGTTCCATTGGTCTATGTATCTGTTTTGGTACCAGTACCATGCTGTTTCGGTTACTGTAGCCTTGTAGTATAGTTTGAAGTCAGGTAGCGTGATGCCTCCAGCTTTGTTCTTTTTGCTTAGGATTGTCTTGGCTATACAGGCTCTTTTTTGGTTCCATATAAAATTTAACATAGTTTTTTCGAATTCTGTGAAGAAAGTCAATGGTAGCTTGATGGGAATAGCATTGAATCTATAAATTACTTTGGGATATATGGCCATTATCATGATATTGAATCCTCCCATCCATGAGCATGGAATGTTTTTCCGTTTGTTTGTGTCCTCTCTTATTTCCTTGAGCAGTGGTTTGTAGTTACCCTGGAAGAGGTCCTTCACATCCATTGCAAGTTGTATTCCTAGGTATTTTATTATCTTTGTAGCACTTGTGAATGGGAGTTCACTCATTATTTGGCTTTCTGTTTGTCTATTATTGGTGTATGGGAATTCTTGTGATTTTTGCACATCAATTTTGTATCCTGAAAATTTGCTGAAGTTGCTTATCAGCTTAAGAAGTTTTGGGGCTGATACAATGGGGTTTTCTAAATATACAATCATGTCATCTGCAAATAGAGATAATTTGACTTCCTCTCTTCCTCTTTGAATACATTTTATTTCTTTCTCTTGCCTGATTGCCCTGGCCATAACTTCCAATACTGTGTTGAAGAGGAGTGGTGAGAGAGGGTATCCTTGTCTTGATCCAGTTTTCAAAGGGAATGCTTCCAGCTTTTGCGCATTCAGTATGATATTGGCCGTGGGTTTGTCATAAATAGCTCTTATTATCAATACCTAGTTTATTGAGTGTTTTTAGCATGAAGGGGTGTTGAATTTTATTGAATGCCTTTTCTGCATCTATTGAGATAATCATGTGATTTTCGTCATTGGTTTTGTTTATGTGATGGATTACGTTGATTGATTTGCATATGTTAAACCAGCCTTGCATCACAGGGATGAGGCTGACTTGATCATGGTGGACAAGCTTTTTAATGTGCTGCTGGATTCGGTTTGCTAGTATTTTTACTGAGGATTTTCACATCGATGTTCATCAGAGATATTGGCCCCAAATTTTCTTTTTTTATTGTGTCTCTGCCAGGTTTTGGTAGCAGGATGATGCTGGCCTCATAAAAAGAGTTAGGGAGGAGTTCCTCTTTTTCTATTGCTTGAAATAATTTCAGAAGGAATGGTACCAGCTCTTCTTTGTACTGGTAGAATTTGGCCTGAAATTTTATTTTTCTGTTGTGTCTCTGCCAGGTTTTCGTATCAGGACGATGCTGGCCTCATCCAAAGAGTTAGCGAGGAGTCCCTCTTTTTCTATTACTTGGAATAGTTTTAGAAGAAATTCTACTAGCTCTTGTTTGTACCTCTGGTAGAATTCGGCTGTGAATCCATCTGGTCTTGGGCTTTCTTTGATTGGTAGGCTATTAATTACTGCCCAATTTTAGAACTTGTTATTGGTCTATTCAGGGATTTGACTTCTTCCTGGTTTAGTCTTGGGAGGGTGTATGTGTCGAGGAATTTATTCATTTCTTCTGGATTTTCTGATTTATTTGCATAGAAGTGTTTATAGTATTCTCTGATCATAGTTTGTATTTCTGTGGGATCAGTGGTGATATCGCCTTTATCATTTTTTATTGTGTCTATTTGATTCTTTGCGCTTTTTTATTAATCTGGCTAGTGGTCTATCTATTTTGTTAATCTTTTCAAAAAAACAGCTCCTGGATTCATTGATTTTTGAAGGGTTTTTTGCGTATCTCCTTTAGTTCTGCTCCGATCTTAGTTATGTCTTGTCTTCTGCTAGCTTTTGAATTTGTTTGCTCTTTTTTCTCTATTTCTTTTAATTTTGATGTTAGGGTGTTGATTTCAGATCTTTCTTGCTTTCTCCTGTGGGCATTTAGTGCTATAAATTTCCCTCTAAACACTGCTCTAGCTGTGTCCCAGAAATTCTAGGACATTGGTTCTTTGTTCTCATTGGTTTCAAAGAACTTCTTGATTTCTGCCTTAATTTCATTATTTACCCAGTAGTCATTCAGGGGCAGCTTGTTCAGTTTCCATGTAGTTGTGCAGTTTTGAATGAGTTTCTTAATCCTCAATTATAATGTGATTGCACTGTCTTAGAGACTGTTTGTTATGATTTCCATTCTTTCATATTTGCTGAAGAGTGTTTTACTTGCAATTATGTGGTCAATTTTAGAATAAGTGCGAGGTGCTGAGAAGAATGTATATTCTCTTGATTTGTAGTGGAGAGTTCTGTAGACATCGATTAGGTCTGCTTGGTCCAGAGCTGAGTTCAGGTCCTGAATATCCTTGTTAATTTTTTCTGTCTCATTGGTCTGTATAATATTGACAATGGGGTGTTAAAGTCTCCCACTATTATTGTGTGGGAGTCTAAGTCTCTAAGGACTTGCTTTATGAATCTGGGTATTCCTGTATTGGATGCATATATACTTAGGACAGTTAGCTCTTCTTGCTGCATTCATCCCTTTACCATTATGTAATGCCCTTCTTTGTCTTTTTTGATCTTTGTTGGTTTAAAGTCTGTTTTATCAGAAGCTAAGATTGCAACCCCTGCTTCTCTTTGCTTTCCATTTGCTTGGTAAATATTCCTCCATCCCTTTATTTTGAGCCTATGTGTGTCTTTGCATGTGAGATGGGTCTCCTGAATACAGCACACCAATGGGTCTTGACACTTTCTCCAATTTGCCAGTCTGTGTCTTTTAATTGGGGCATTTAGACCATTTACATTTAAGGTTAATATTGTTATGTGTGAATTTGATCCTGTCATTATGATGTTAGCTGGTTATTTTGCCCATTAGTTGATGCACTTTCTTCATAGTGTCGATGATCTTTACATTTTGGTATGTTTTTGCAGTGGCTGGTACTGGTTTTTCCTTTCCATATTTAGTGCTTGTTTCAGGAGCTCTTGTAAGGCAGGCCAGGTGGTGACAAAATCCCTCAGCATTTGCTTGTCTGTAAAGGATTTTATTTCTCTTTCACTTACGAAGCTTAGTTTGTTTGGATATAAAATTCTGGGTTGAAAATTCTTTTCTGTAAGTGTGTTGAATGTTGGTCCCTACACTCTTTGGGCTCATAGGGTTTCTGCAGAGAGATTCGCTGTTAGTCTGACGGGCTTCCCTTTGTGGGTAAACCAACCTTTCCCCCGGTTGCCCTTAACATTTTTTCCTTCATTTCAACTTTGGTGAATCTGATATTATGTGTCTTGGGCTTGCTTTTCTCAAGGTGCATCTTTGTGGTTTTCTCTGAATTTCCTGAATTTGAATGTTGGCTTGTCTTGCTTGGTTGGGGAAGTTCTCCTGGATAATATCCTGAAGAGTATTTTCCAACTTGGTTTAATTCTCCCCATCACTTTCATGTACACCAATCAAACGCAGATTTGGTCTCTTCACATAGTCCCATATTTCTTGGAGGCTTTGTTTGTTCCTTTCTATTTTGTTTTCTCTGATCTTGTCTTCATGCTTTATTTCATTAGGTAGATCTTCAATCTCTGATATCCTTTCTTCTGCTTGGTCGATTCAGCTGTTGATACTTGTGTATGCTTCAATAAGTTCTCACGCAGTGTTTTTCAGCTCCATCATGTTATTTATGTTCTTTTCCAAGCTGATTATTCTAGTTAGCAGCTCCTGTAAACTTTTATCAAGGTTCTTAGCTTCTGTGCATTGGATTAAAACATGCTCCTTCAGCTCAGAGGAGTTCATTATTACCCACCTTCTGAAGCCTACTTCTGTCAATTTATCAAACTCATTCTCTGTCCAGTCTTGCTCCCTTGCTGGCCAGGAGTTGTGATCCTTTGGAAGAGAAGAGGTGTTCTGGTTTTTGAAATTCCCAGCCTTTTTGCTAGTTTTTCTCATCTTCGTGTATTTGCCTACCTTCGGTCTTTGATATAGGTGACCTTCAGATTGGGTTTTTGCATAGTCATCCTTTTTATTGATGTTGATGCAATTGCTTCCTATTTGTTAGTTTTCCAACAGTCGGGCCCCTCTTCTGCAGGTCTGCTGGAGTTTGCTGGAGGTCCACTCCAGACCCTGGGTATCACCTGGGTATCACCAGTAGAGTGATACCCAGGGTATCACCTGGGTATCACTTTTGCCTGGGTAGCACCAGTGGAGGCTGTTTGCCAGGGTATCACCAGTGGAGCCTGCAGGTCAGCAAAGGTTGCTGCCTGCTCCTTCCTCTGGAAGCTTCATCCTAGAGTGGGGCCTGCCAGATGCCAGCCAGAGCTCTCCTGTATGAGGTGTCTCTTGACCCCTGCTGGGAGGTGTCGCGTCATCAGGAGGCACGGGGGTCAGGAACCTACTTGAGGAGGCAGTCTGTCCCTTAGCAAAACTCAAGTGCTGTGCTGGGAGGTCTGGTGCTTTCTTCAGAGCTGGCAGGCAGGGATGTTTAAGTGTGCTGAAGCTGTACCCATAGCCACCCTTTCCCCCAAGTGCTCTGTCCCAGGGAGAGGGGAGTTTTATCTATAAGCCCCTGACTGGGGCTGCTGCCTTTCTTTCAGAGATGCCCTGCCCAGAAAGGAGGAATCTAGAGAGGCAGTCTGGCTACAGTGGCTTTGCCAAGCTGCAGTGGGCTCCGCCCAGTTCAAACATCCAGGAGGCTTTGTCTACACTGTGAAGCCTCAGTAATGGCGGACACCCTTCCCCCAACCAAGCTCGAGTGTCCCAGGTCAACTTTAGACAGCTGTGCTGGCAGGGAGAATTTCAAGCCAGTGGATCTTAGCTTGTTGGGCTCCATGTAGGTGAGATAGGCCGAGCTAGACCATTTGGCTGCCTGGATTCAACCCCCTTTCTAGGGGAGTGAACAGTTCTGTCTCGCTGGCATTCCAGGTGCCACTGGGGTATGAAAAAACCTTCTGCAGCTAGCTAAGGGTCTACCCAAATGGCTGCCCAGTTTTGTGCTTGTAATCCAGGGCACTGGTGGGGTAGGCAGCCGAGGGAATCTCCCGGTCTGCGAGTCATGAAGACCATGGGAAAAGCATAGTACCTGGGCTGGAATGCACCATGCCTCACGGCACAGTCCCTCACAGCTTCCCTTGGCTAGGGAAAGGAGTTCCCTGACTGCTGGCACTTCCTGGGTGAGGTGATGCCCCACTCTGCTTCTGCTTGCCCTCCGTGGCCTGCACCCACTGTCTAACCAGTCCCAATCAGATGAGCCAAGTACCTCAGTTGGAAATGCAGAAATGACCCACCTTCTGTGTTGGTCTCACTGGGAGCTGCTGACTGGAGCTCTTCCTATTTGGCCATCTTGCCTGGGAGTCCATATATCACATTCTTATGTTTAAAATGTCAGTAAGGGACAAAATGAAGGTAATAGATAAGAAACCAATTTCAAAGTGCTATTATATATATTTTAAAGGAAGCTGATTCTATACACACGGAAGAGGAAAACTTAAGGAAGACAAATACAGTCAGAAAACCTTCAGCTGGTGCATTAGAGAAATGTAGTGATAAAAAAGAAACACTGGGGCTGGGCATGGTAGCTCTTACCTGTAATCCTAGCACTCTGGGAGCCTGAGGCAAGAGGAACACTTGGGGCCAAGAGTTCAAGAAAAACCTGGGCAACATAGTGAGACCCCATCTCATTAAAACAAAAACAAAAACAAAAAATGATAAATCTAAGCGACTTGCCTAAACGTCATACAAGTCAGGAGAACCAAAGTTGACTGGAGAATGCATACCAACACTACGTTCATTCACATTTAATTCTTTAAAAAAATTCAGCTAATTGTTTTTTTGCAAAGAATATTCTTAATGACACTAATTTTTGAGATATGAAGTTGTGGATCTGCTGGAAGAAGAATTATGTAAATAGGCCCACATTTGTGGAACCTGAAAGTAGTATAATGTATTTGGGCCTCAAGATTTGATGTGAAGATAAATATTTGAAGAGGTAACTCATAAAATGAATACTGGGGCCTTCTACTCTGTTGTAAGAAGGCTGAGACATGTCTTAACAATGGAACATGTTACAAAGAAGGATAACATGATTAAATTTGCATTTAGAATATTCATTCTTTGAACTTTTGTATTAGTTTGGAAGACACTGGTTGCAAGAAAGCTGTTGCAATAATTTGCCCAATACTGATCAGCAGCCTTACAGAACCAAAAATGGAATTGGGGAGCAATAAGGAAGAATTTGAACATTAATGAAGAGGTAGCAGCGGGTTTGGGCTAGAGGTAGCAAATGCATGTAAGCATTTTGTGAGTAAGTTTCTAAATCTGCTCTCACAGTTCTTATTTTAGAAACCAGGTGGTTGGATTCATTCCTAGTAGATATATAGGGGGACGAGTAAAGAAGGAGGGATGCATGATGAGTTCACAGATAGCTAGGTGTGGATACCAAAAATGTTTATCAGGTAAAGGTTTAATTGTAGCCCTCATTTTATCTTATTGCGATGTAAAAGCAAATTGGCTTTAGTGTTTAAGTTTAAGCAATTTCCAGCATTAGTTTGGCACCAGCTTTTCCTGTTGGCACCCTTTAAATTTGCCCTGGCTTCAGTGCCAATGCTGCCAGAATGTACTTGGCAGTCTCAGGATCTAGGTGTCACATTGTTAAATGATTCTGTACCACTTTCTTTTTAAGTAAATTATTTTTGAAGCTAACTTTGCTTTCTATTTAGTGATTTAAAGAGAATTTCTGAAAATATTTTTAATAAAATGTTTATTATTTAAATTCAGCAGCTTTACTATTTTTTTGTGATGATCCTGCCCATTTCACACATCTCAGTCACACTATGTCCTGTCCACTACTCAATCCACTGAAAAGTGAGCCTTTTCAAAAACAGCACCATGTACCTGACAAGCCACTCTCTTGAAAGTATTGCTTCAGTTCTCACTGATGGTATTATATTGGGTTCCCTGGAAATAGATTCTGAAGCAGGGAGTTGTGAGCAGAATGCTTATTGGGGAGCACTCTTGGAGATAGAACTATCAGGCAGTGAAGAAGGCAGGACTAAGCAGAGTAAGGGGCTATAGCAAAGTTATTGCACCAAAGGCTTCAGCAAATCCTGCATATAGTTCTGCAGCTAAGATGGACCTTCAGAATGGTCCCAAACTTAGGCAAAAGGACCAGAACCTTGCATCTTCACATGAACCCATCTTCTGGTCACTCTTGGAAAGGTGAGTCATCTTAAATAGAGCAGTTTCTGAGGACTAAAGTGATTTGCAGAATCAATACAGCGGTAAACAGCCAGCAACCAAGATAGTATGCTGGACAGCTGGAGAATGATGACTTGACTTTGAATAGGGAAGACACCACAGAATCTGCCACTCTATTATCCACGCCATTTCCAAAGCCCTAAATCCTCCAGGAATTCTTATTGCTTGAATTTTCATTGTCCAGTTGGAACTCTGGTCCAATTATATCTTCACCTTCATCTGTATAATCTGTAAATTAGATTCCTGTCTACTTTTTCACTTGGTAATTTTTGTTTCTTTCTGCTTATCCTGTATGTTTGAATTTAAGACTCTGAGAAAAAAGTGGCCATATCTAAATAGAACATGGTGTAGAATTACACAGAACCTTAAACACGAATTGCTTATTAATCCTAAAAGAATTTTATAATACTAGAATATAAAAGCTTGAACAGAATGTATAGAAAGAAAAGCTTGAGAAAAATTTAAATAACTTATGTATGTAAGCACCAAGCCTAGTCCCTGTCACAAAAAATCTATTTCCTTTATTTGATGTCTTTTCTAACGTGACTCAAAACAAAACTGAGTTAAGTTACATTACCTATTTAACTAGTTAAAACTAGTTTTGTATTCTTTTCATTGCATAGCAATGAAAATAATAATTGATATGTCAAATATTAAGTGTAAGTATAATA
The DNA here is from genome assembly GCF_000001405.40 of Homo sapiens. Lineage (NCBI taxonomy): Eukaryota > Metazoa > Chordata > Mammalia > Primates > Hominidae > Homo > Homo sapiens. The sequence goes on from NC_000004.12 coordinate 136,851,994, forward strand.
AATGTTGAGTACTAAGTAGCAAATATTAAGTATAATGGTCAGAATCCTGAGCATATTGTAGTAGATAGTTTCAGGTGAAAAATATGTGTTCTTTTTCTCCCAGAGAGAAAGTACTCAGTGTTTCACCAATAAGTATCATGTTAGCAGTAAGTTTTTCATAGATGTACTTTAGCAGTTTGAGAAATTGTCTTTGTATTTATAGTTGCCTGAGAGTTTTTATTTTGACTGCACATTAAAGTTTTTCAAGTACTTTTACTGCATATTCTGAGATAATCGTATGATTTTTATTTTCTAGTTTATATTGTGAATTACACTGAATTCAAATTTTAAACCTTGCATTCCTAGGCTGAATCTGGTCATAATACAGAATACTCTTTTAAAAAACTGTTGTATTAAATTTGCTAAAAGGCTGGGCTTAGTGTCTCATGCCTGTAATCCAAGAACTTTGGGAGACCAAGGCAGGTGGATCACTTGAGGCCAGGGAGTTCCAGACCAGCCTGGCCAACATGGTGAAACTCCATCTCTACTAAAATACAAAAATTAGCCAAGCATAGTGGCGCACGCCTGTAATCAAAGCAACTCAGGAGGCTAAGGCATGAAAATTGCTTGAATCTGGGAGGTGGAGGTTGCAGTGAGCTGAGATCACGCACTCTAGTCTGAGTGATAGAACTAGATTCTGTCTCAAAAAAAAAAAAAAAAAGAAAAAGAAAAAAAGAAGAGGAAAGAAAAATTGTTAAACTAAACATAGTTTAGTTTGAGAATTTTTGCATCTGTATGCATAAGGTGAGAAGTGTTTGCTGCTCTTTTATTTTCTGAATGTCTTTCTTAAAAACTGTTAAATATTTCTTTTTTAAATATTTGATGGAGCTCATTATTCAGTACACCTGGGCCTGGAGTTCTCTTTGTGGAAATATTTTAAACTACTAATGTAAATATGTGAATGACTATCCTATTTCTTCTTGAGTGAGCTTTGATAGTGGTGTCTTTTAAGAAGTTTTTCTATTTAATCTAACTTACCAAAGTTATACTTTTAATGTATATAGGCTCTATAGTGATGTTTGTACTTTCTCTATTAATATTGGAAATTTGCATTTTTCTCATTTTTCTTATTCAGATAAACCATAAGTTTATCAATTTTATTGATCTTAAAACCTACACGTCATTTAGTTCATTTTTCTATCTTTTATTTCATTAATTTCCACTTTCATATTCCTTATTTTGTTTCTTGTGCTTTTCATAAACTCACATTGCTTTGTCTTCTTTAGTTTTTTTTTTTTTTTTTTGAAACAAAGTCTCACTCTGTTGCCCAGGCTGGAGTGCAGTGGCACGATCTGGGCTCACAAGCTCTGCCTCCCAGGTTCATGCCATTCTCCTGCCTCAGCCTCCCAAGTAGCTGGGACTTACAGGTGCCTGCCACCACACCCATCTAGTTTTTTTTGTTTTTGTTTTTGTTTTTTGAATAAAGCTGAGATCATTCATTTAAGGACTTTTTAACATAACTATTTTAATACAATATTTTTTTCCTAAGAACTATTTTAGCTCTATCACACTAATTGTAATGTATTGTGTTTTCATTTTAATTCAGTTCAAAATGTTTTCTATTTTTCTTTGTGTATCATCTTTACCCATGGTTTATTTAGAAGTATATTACTTAATTTCCAAATACTTGAGGCTTTTCAGTTCTCTTTCTGATACTGATTTTTAGTATAATTCCAATGTGATCAAAGTTCATACTTTGTATAATTTTAGTACTCTTTATTTATTAAATCATTTCATTGACAGCATGTGGTTTATCTTGGTGAGTGTTCAAATTGTACTCAAAAAGGGTATGTATTTGGGGATAGAGTAGTCAATTTGCTTAACTTGTTGATAGTGTCCAAATTACTGATTACTTATTTACATTTTCTTTTAATTAGTGAGAGACTTAAAAATTTACAACTGTATGTATGGATTTTTGTATTTTTGTATTTCTTCTTTGAATTCTATTTGGTTTTCTTTTACATATTTTGAAGCAATGTAACTAAGTCCTTAGACATCTAAGATTTTTTTTCTTAAATGAAAAAATGGAATTGAATATCACATTTTATTTCTTAAAATATTCTTATTTGTAAATATGCTTTGAACTTATTGGTTTTTAAATCAGTTTTTCAAAAAGGAAAAAATGCCTTTAAATTGCCTTTTGTAATTACATAATTACCCTTACCAGTGCTCTTTCTTTGTTCTTATACATTTGGATTACTGTCTGGAGTCACTTGCTTTCGGTCTGGAGAATTTCCCTTAGCTTTTCTTATAAGATAGTCTGATAGCTATAACTTCTCTTGGTTTTTGTTTATCTGAAAAGGCCTTTATTTCACCTTTACTTTTTAATAATATTTTTGCTGGATATAGGGTTCTTGGTTGTCATTATTTTATTTGAGAACTTTAAATATATTTTCCTTTTGCCTCTGGCCTTGAGCGTTTCTGCTGTTAATCTTACTGAGTTTCCTTTGTAAAGATGTGCCATTTTTCTTCTGCTGCTTTCAAGATTTTCTCCTTGTTTTTGAATATCAGTATTTTTTTCCATGAGGTGTCTCTGTGGTTTTCTTTATGTTTATTCCACCTGGACTTTATTGAGCTTCCTCTGTGTGTTGTTCAATATTTTTCAATAAATTTTTGAAATTTCCAACCATTATTTATTTCTTTGAATTTTTTTCTCTTTCTTCCCTTTTCTTATGATACGGTTATTATGTGTATATTGGTGCACTTAATGGTGTTTTACCTTTCTCCAGGGCTTTGTTCATTTCACCATTTTTCTCTCTCTACTTTTTGGCTCACATAATCTCGATCAATCAAACTTCAAATTTGCTTATTTCTTCTTTGACTGGTTCAAGTCTTCTGTTGAACCACTTCAATGAATCTTTAAAAACTATTTTAGCTATTGAACTTTCAATCCTAGAATTTCCATTTAATTCTTTTTTAAAAATAGTTTCTATCTCTTTATTGATATTCTCTACTTGAGGCAACATTGTCAATATACATGTCTTCTTTAATTACTTTTGTGAGTATGCTTTTAATGGTTAATTTTATTTTTTTTGTCTTATTTTCTTCTTTCTTTTTGCGGAGAACGGGTTCTCACTATGATCCCCAGCAGGGGGCTCAAGCTATTCTCTCACGTCTGTCTCCTTAAGTGCTGCAATTAACAGGTGCAAGCCCAGGTAATTATCAATCTTTTATTTGAATATGATTCATTATTAGTTAGAAAACTACTCTCACGGGCACTACCTCTTGCCTGCTTTTTTTTTTTTTGTAGGGTACAGGTCATACTTTTCTATTTCTTTGAATGTCTCATAATTTTTTGTTGGAAAGTGGAAATTTTAGATAATATATTTTAGGTATTCTAGGTACTATCTGGGTATTATCTCCTCTCCTGGGCTTGTTATTGTAATTTGCTTATTTGTTAGTTTAGCGAATGTCTGGATTGTTTTAGTGAAATATTTCTCTATTCTCCTCTTTCAGTGTTAGCCCTCATATAATCCTCTTTAAAGAGGAGCAGCCTTTAGTATGCCCTCAGTCATCAAGGGATAACCACGGTACTGGTAGGACTCTCTTCCATTCTTTCTCTGACCACACCCCTTTATGAAAGTCCACTATTTTCCTTTCTAGTCAATTCCTCTACTGTTTTCAGTAAGTCCTTGGGACATAACTTACTCTACAAACTAATCCAGTCAAATTATGTCTCCTTTGAGGGAAGAATGTCTGAAGTTATTATTTGATATTTTGAGTGTTCCCCTCAGCTGTCTTATTCCCCACTTTTCCTGTACCTATCAGTCTGCGTCTTGTATAGGCTGTATCTTTGTTAGATACATTGATCTTTTCCCAATTGACTTTCACTACAATTTCCACTGCTCTTAAGAGTGCCATTGGGCTTAAACTTCTCCAAATTCTGTTGCAAAAAAAAAAAAATGTCAGTTTATTTGGGAAGAGACTAGGAGCTGTTTATCTTACATCCTGCTCTCCCCTGAGGAACATCCCTTATCTAGAGCTCTAGAGCTGGAGATGAGAACAATGGCAAATTTCCTTCTGAGTGACATCCCTGCTTTAGGAGCTGAGCATGCAGTGGAGGGAGCAAGTAACAGCCTGTTGTTTCTCTCCTGGTGTGAGTCCACCACCTCACAACTGGAGGAAGAGATATGAAGGTCCAGTATCCTCAACATTCCACGCTCATAGCAGAACCTGGATTCCATGAGTAGGGGTTGTATAGAGGGATCCCCCACCTTTGGATTGCACTTGCCCATGATTTAGCCTTGGCACCAGGTAGCTGAGGTCAGGATGAGAAGCTCTAAGGTCATTTTCCTCCTGGGAAAAAAACTCCTCTGTCTGGGAATTGGGAAGAAAGGGAAACCCTGTATTCTTGGCTTCAGGAGTCTGGAGTGTAGATTTTGCTTTGCTGAACTTGTGGTAGGGGGAATCAATCTTGGTTCAGTTGCCACAGACTTTTGCTTTTCTTACTGAAATTTGTAGGTTTTCTTGAGTAGATGTTTCTCTATTAGCCACTTCCCTTGAGGACCATCTCCAGAGGCTTTAAATGATTGTGTGGGTGTGTGCGTTTTTAAATAATGTCCACCAGTTTCACTGGGAAGCAGGTCAGAGAAGCTTCTGATGCTGTCACACTAGAAATCAACCCTTTTACCATTATTTAAAAAAAAACTTTTTGGGATATAGAAATGTAGCTTAATGGTTTAGTTTTCTTTCATTACTTTAAAAATTACCTTCTATTATCTTTTGGCCTGTGGGAGTTCTTTTGAAAAGGCTGCTGTCATTCTTATGTTGATTGTTCTGCAAGTCATAATTCTTATTTCTGGCCCAAGATTATTCTTTGTTGCAAGTTTTGTCAATTTGATTTAGATATTTTCTGGTGAAGTTTCCTTTTTTTTTGTTTTTCTGCTTGAAGTTTGTTGAGCTTCTTGGATCCATGAGTACATAGTTGTCATGAAATTAGAAAAAAAAACTTGCAATCATCTTAAATCTTTTCTGCCTCCCCCAACTTCTGAGACTCAAATTGCATAAATGTTGTATTTCTTGATAATGTCCCAAAGACAATATGAAATTCTGTTCATTTTGTCAGATTTTTTCTCTTTGCATCTTCACAAATCTTATCTTGTGGGGTGTCCAATCTGCTCGTGTACAAATCTGGTATATTTTTTATTTTATTTTGCATTTTTTATCTCTAGCAGTTTGAGTCATTTTTTTATATCTGCTATTTCTTTATTCATAATGTTCCTGCTCTCCTATACAATCTTGAACATATGCAATAAAATTACCATAGCTATTTTGATATTCCTATGCTAATTCTATAGTCTTAGTCATGTTTTCTATTCTGTTACTATTAATTGATTTTTCGCCTGGTTATTGGTCTCATTTTCTTTCCTCCTCGTACGCTTGTTTTTTTTCTTTTTTAAGAATTACAATTTTTTATTCCTTTTATATCCACTGTCTTTTTATCTTCTCAGACAGGTGCTGTGGATGATACACTGCAGTGAGACTACAAAACCTTTAAAGTTTTAGTTTTGTAAGCAGTTAAATTATTGACACATTATTTTCATACTCTCAGACTTGGTTTTGTTCTTTGTGGGAGCTATTTGTGTATTTGCTTTTGTTTTCCTGCTTTTTAAACCTGGGTATGGTTTTTTAATTCAAAGATAGTCTTTTCTCCCAAGTTTTGACATGTCTACAATCTCAACTGGATGTCCACGTTCAGCAAGGTTTCTACCATCTGGCTCGGCTGTAACTCCAGTGTCTTTCAGGACTTTTCAAACTATGTTACTTCTCTCAGTTCTTAGCTACCCTGCAGCAATTACTTTCCCACAGCCTCCAGAGGAATCTCCACATGTGCAAATTATCTTCAAGTCACGAACATATGGAACCCCCTGCAAATTTTGAGATCTCACTCTCAGCACTCCCTCATTTCCAGTAACCTGCCCTACTAAAATTTCAACCACTTAAGTTGCCTGAACTCCATTTGTCTTCAGCTCAGTGAGGCTGCTGTACTTTCATTGGAGTCCAATTTATTGTACTTTGGTGAAAAAGGTTTCCCCAGCCAGAAAGCCTAAGTGAAAGTTGTGCTAACTTTGTTTGTTCTCCTTTTCTCAAAATCACAAGCTTTCTTTAAAAAAATTTGTCTCATGTCTTTTTCTGTAATTTAATTATTCTTTAAAGTGAGAAAAGCAATTTGGTCCTAGGTAACATAACATATATGAGATAAATTTTTAATTTTCCTATTTTAAATAAACATGTCTATATTTACCACTTTCAAAATAAACATATAAGTTAAAGATTCACAATAATTTTGAAAAATAATTCTTTTTAGTAACTATCTTAAGTATTATTTATTTGCATAAAAATAAATTGGATAAATATTTTAATCAAATTACATTAATGCCTCTAGGTAGAGAGCATGTGATTTGGTTAGATTTAATCTTTAAAATGTCAGCATCCAAATATGGCATCAATTCTTACTAAATATTACGAATAATATAAACTAAATATATTTATATATATTAAATACTCAAATAGTACTCCTAACCACAAAATTAACCCAATGATGACTTCTTTTCCAAAACATTGCAATGTGTCAATATCTTTAAATTGCTTAAAAATTAATGAATGAATCTAATTGAGTATACTTCTACCAACAATATTTTTACATGTGATAGGTAAAACATTTGTCATTTTGAGCTTAGGCCAACTGGCAAGTCATTTTTATATCATATTGGCTGTTTCTAGGCATTTTTTTTTACTATTTTAACCAAGAGTGAGTCAAACTATATTGCTCAATTTATACAGTAGTAATGTGAAAATCATTATTACACATGGAAAAACTCACGAACAAGGATAATTATTTTCTAAAGTCACAGGTAGATACAGCAATATTAACAATAACTATGACTTGTAGACTAACATTTAGTATGTAAACAGAGTACTCTATTTTTAAAAAATATAATTAGAGGGCAGGCACTGCATTGCTCAGTATATTCCCAAAGCTAAGTGGCAGTTGATAAGAGTTGCATTAAAGTAAAGGTCAAATAATGATGACAAGTTTCCTCCCATTTCACTTTGCCACAGTTTGACATAAGCTGAGATTTATGCAATGTCACTAACCATCAATCAATCACCCATGCAATAACAAATAAAGAGATGAAATGGCTAAGTAAATATGTCTTTTTAAAAATACAGGTAAAGAAAAGAAATAACATCAGCTACTAGGCTCTACAAAGAGAAGAAGCAACTCAAATACTGTTTTATTTGAAGCCCTTGTATTTAAGGAAACAAAGTATGGCCTATTTTTCTTTCTCTTGGATGATACATAATTATTTTAGTCCCTAGAATAGTTTTGTTAAAATACTGCAGTATCAGTTAATTTTGTTTCTTGAGAAGACCTGAAAGAGGTTTTTGGTTTGTTTGTTTGTTTGTTTGTTTTTTATCCTTATGTAGTTCTTATCTTATTGGTAGGCTTTGAATAGCTATCCTATAAATATTATTGGTTTCATAACATTTTAGGTACTTATTTTTAATTCAATATCTTTGTTATTGAAGCAAGTCAATTTAGATGAGTTGAAGAAAATGGTAATAGTAATGATTTTAAAATTTGCTAATGGTTTTCAGCATACAGCGTACACCCAAAACACTTTTAAAAACATATGGCTTAAAATCTCTACGGGGAAAATGTTTTAATGTCTTTATTCTAAGTGAATACAGTTAAACTTAACAGAAGTAATCATTCTGGCACAAAGACAGAGATGTAGGTTGGCATGAGGACATGTGAAAAGATTAGCAGGAGATGAAAGTAGTGGAGAGACTGAAAAACACTATAACAATAGTGCATCAAATCATACCCAGTAAGAGCTACACCAACCTTTAAGGAGGAGGAATTGCAAGTTAATGTCAAAAACATAGTGTAATTTTTGTATGTATGTAAAAATTTGTATGTATGTAAAAATTTTATTTACATGTAAATAAAAATGCATAAAATGTCACAGCATAGTATATATTATTTTCTATAGTATAGATAATTTTACAAATTGTTTTTAACTTTAAAATATTTCATGTTAAAATGTATCTACTTTGTGTATTTGAAAAGACAGGTACATATGCTTGATGGATCTGTGTGCTAATTACAATCTAGTACCAGGGGCAGCATAGGAGAATACTTTGACTTTGTTTTTTTTTTAATAGAAAGTATTTTTTTAAATTACACTTTAAGTTCTAGGGTACATGTACACAACGAGCAGTTTTGTTACATATGTATACATGTGCCATGTTGGTGTGAATATCTTAACTTTTGACTGGATCCTTCTACATTTAGATACTAGAGGAAGCCCAGAGTAGGTCCCTAGAACATGCAGATGCTGATTTGTGAGATGCTGCCTTATAAGGCCCATAAACACATACTCACACCAAAATTGTTAAAAAGAGAACAGATGCTTTAAAACAACCATAACAAGAAATCAGTTTCACATTTTTAATCATTTTAATGGCACTTAAAATGTAGTGTAATGACACAAGTGATATGTAATGATACAGGCCTATACTTCACTATATTCTTTTTTTTAAATTTTCTCAAGCCCCTGTGTTTTTAAGACCCTTTTGTCACATATATTTCTAAGAAAATAATAGTTTTATTTCAACCACATAATTGGATATTCAAAAAGAAATGTGATCATTTCTACACTCAGAGTTTTATGTCCGGGTATTACACAGAAAAATGATAACAACATGTCTTGCCTTGAGAAAAAAAATGCAGAAAGCAAATCATTTTTATTTTGATGTTATTCTTGGCAAGCAATATAAAAGTATATGTGTATTTGTATTCAAACGTGAAATATACCAGAAAGAACAAAATCTGATTTCAGAAGTCTTTGATTGCTGGTCAAAAAGAATTTTTTTTAAAGGAATGTAACTAGCAGCTATTAATCACTTTCTCAAAATGTAGTGAGATTGTTCCTAGTTTTGTGCGGTTTTTTTGCATTTTCTCACAAATGTTTATCAAAATCACCCTTTAAAGAACTTTTCAGTTGTATGCCTTAATGAAAATAGCTTCCTTTTCTTATCTATTATTTTAAAAATAAAAAGCAACAAAAAACTAAATAAATTTTTCTATAATAATCTTTCTATAATAGCTCACAACTGTATTAAATAAATCAAAATAGCTTGTCAAGGGCTATCGTATTTCACTTGTTACTCTCTATAAACCTTGGAAAGCTTTAAGAGAGAAAACACTGCATTGCATTTATGAGCTCTTTACTAAACATCTGTTCCCTAATATTTTATATCAGCCACTGAATTAGCTTCTTGAACTGCAAAAAATGGTAAAAAGTCATGGTTTCTTTACCCAAGGAATTGGCAGTACTTTCACAGTCAACTGAGAGGACAGAAACACGAGTCATTACTGTAAAAGAGAAGGAATGCAACATTGGTGTGAATGAAACACAATACAGGAGCATAGTAGAACAGGTTTTAAAACATGATATAAAAAGACCTACTTTTAAACAAACTGTATATACCTATACCTACATTTATTCAGGAATATAATCTTTAGTAATAATTTTAATAAGGAACAGTTATAATTAACTTTATTTCAAAGTTCGTAATCTAGAAAAATATTATTTTAAATGAATAAGGAGAACGCGTTGTATTCATGAGAGAGGATATTTTTTAAGTTTTCCAGAAATATTGGTATGTTCTCCACATGATCACTGTCATATACAGTCTCAGTGCCATTAAAACTTTGTACCCCAGAAACACTGTTAACTTACATAGCTGCAACTGAAGGAATCTATATCTATGGATATTTGTTTTATGTTTGAACATGGTACAGATTGTGATATCTAAAATCAGAAGAATTAGCTATAGGTGCATCCTGTTGTTGTGCAAACAAAACTACAGGTGGCTTATTGGCTGATTTTCCTCATCATATGGCTAATTTACCTAGACCTTTCTTCTAAAACATTGAAAGTTACAATATGCCATATGATCATTCACATAGTAAATACCAGTAAAAAAATCCTGTGCCTCTGTTTTGCCAACACTTGCTTTGTAAATGCATTTTTTCCTCAAAATTTAGATTAAAATGGAATTTTTGATATGACTATCATTTGTAGTTTTTTAATTATATTTCTTCTATTCCCCTGAACACTGTCTAGTATTTAATTACATTAATATATAAAATATCTATCCATTTCAGGGCAAGATAGAGTGATTGTGGAAATTTTGACAGCTTTTCATTTTTATTCCCCTGCACTATTTTTTGAAGGAGCTGGCCATGCCTGAATATAGATGAGAAATTGCCCATCATCTCATTGATCCATTCTTTTCATCTTCCTTACTATTTTCGAGCAACATATTTCATAGTGACCAATATTAATTTTTGATGATTTAAAAGAGGATATATATATATATATATATATATATATATAATGTTTTTCTTTAATTTTATTTTTGTAATAATGAGAGTTTTTTCTTTCTTTTACTTTGATTCTTGGTGACAGTGTTATAAAACAAAGCTATTATTAGAGCAATTAATTTATTCATAGGTAGCTTGTGTAAATATAAAGTTTCATTCTTTCATAAAAATATATTGTTAAACATAGAACAAATAAGTATAGTGTGAGCTTAAGGCGAGGTGAGCTGGTTTGCATAATGCATTTTTTTTGGCTATGGATTATAGAATTTTACACTTATGAGAGTTTGAATAACCTACAAGTCACAGTGTCTATGTTTTTCATAAGATGGTGTTTGAGGTAATAAAATCCTCCCTACAAACTGAGTGTTAGAAGTCTGATCGATATTCACTTAACAAGAAAAATGCCCACATATTATTAGCATCTCTTGTGACATCACTTGTTACTGAGCTGTAAGCTACATAAGGTAGTTTATAATCACACAGCTACAAGGTAGCAAAGATATGTGATTAGCCATGAAAATCAGCTTTCTCACCACCAAATGCCACTCTAGTTATGGAAGGTCACGCAAACAGAACGTCCAGAGTTGATTATCTCAGGCTGGGTAACATATTAATAAACTTGTCAAGGTCAAAACTATGACTGTAACTTAAAAATAAACCCCATATTTTATTTTTCTGTGTCTAAATGAGATTACTTACTAAAATTTCAAAGTCAGTCTTCCTTAGTTTGACTTCATGTACTTTTTATATAGTCGTAAAAAAGAAATAAGAAAAACAGAAAGAATAAGAAACAGAGAAAGAAGACAAGGAGACAAAGAAATCCACCAAGCATCTAGCAAGTTTAATGTGCTATTAATATTCTCATTTGTTTTTACTTGCAACAACCATCAGCTACTAACAAAGATACAGAAACTTATAAAAACAAACACAACACAATCTATCAACTACAAAGTAAACTCTATGCTAATACATCACAACCTAAAGAGTAGCACTCTCTTCTATTCACAATTTTCTTCAAAGGATCACAAAATCTTTATTAAAAAGAACAAAACCAACCTTCAATTTATTGAATTATTATTATTTTCTAGGGACTACTTTATGTGTGGAAATACAAAAGAAAACAAGATCTGGGGCCTTTTGAGCCCTACATTCTAGTAAGGAAAATAACAAACTAATAAATTGATAAAAAATTAAATATATTATTTGCTAATGTTGATTAGTGCAATAGAAAAACTAAGAGAATATAGATAGGAAAAATGACAAGGGGAGGCAGGGGTTGCAATTATATTTAAGATGATCAGAAACCTCATGTACTTTCACTGCTATGGTGACATTTGTACCAAGACTGAAAGAAGAGAAGCAAGCAATCCTTGAAAATCTTTGGGGCCAGAGTATTTTTGTGAATACAAAAGCTTGAGCCAGGCCTGGAAAAAACTTGGCTCCCTCTAGGAACAGCAGCAACCTTGTGTGTTAGGAGTGAAATAGCCACAGAGGGAGCTTGGTGAGGAGTTCAGGAAGGTAAGGAACAGGAAGTTTGTGTAGGACTTTACTTCCCTCTCTAACAACCCAGGCTTTATGTGTGTAGAGATACATTCTGAATAACAATCAAAAAACATTCTGAGAGATTCAAGACCAATGGTTACTTAAGCTGACATCTCATCGTTTAAAGTGGTCATAGCAGCTGGCATTGACTAGTCATTTAATCTAATAATGTTATTGGATTAATCATGTTTCAGTGCTCAGAAAAAATGACTGCCACTTATCAATGGCCTTTTGATAATTTTATCTAACCTTACCAAAAAAAAGAGGGAGAGAGAAAACTTTTTACTTTAAAATATGAAAAAAGTATGAGTAGTTGTCTGTATTCTCTAATTTATATTTCAACACTGTTGCAAAAAAACTTGTTCCAGATAAGCTTTTAATGAAGATGAATTTATTTCTATAACTACTTGTGGTTGTACACATGGCTTCAACTTTCCTGGCTTCTATTTTTTTTTTTTACTTCTTATCTGTAAAACGATACAGTTGAAGTAGAAGATTTATAAGTTTCTTTTTATGCTTTAAAATATTAGGATTTTAAAAAGAAAATTATATTTTAAGATAGCACACATATTACAGAATGTGTTTAAAAGGGCAGAGCAGATTACTAATTTTCTGTAAAACTAATATAAATATTATATACTCATGTATGAATATGGAGTGAAAATAAAAGAAACATATGAAGCATACAGAAAACCTTTTTTCTTCTTTCTTTTTAAATCACCAGTGAGGAGAGTGCTTTCAGCTACTTTCAATTTGAAACCGTTTATTTCAAGCAACCAAAGAGCTATGCTGCCACCTACTGACCATATGATTAGCATCCATAAGCCTGCAATTCCTTAGAAAGGAAGAGTGATAAATATTTAGAGTCCTCACTTTCAAAAATCAGGATTATGAAATGTCTATTCATTTAAAAGAATGCCTTAGTGAAATACCATTTAGATTACTGTATTTATTGTAAACCACAACAACACTATTTTTCAGCTGGTCTTTGTTGATAATGCAATGCACTTCTCATGGCCTTTCTAGGAGGAAAATATCACTGGTATTTTGATCAATGTTCCAGTATGATTTCACAGTAACAGAAATAATGTATTTTTTTCGATTCCTAGAAATAAAAGCATTTAGTTTTAGAAGCCAACATATAAACTACCTTTAAAAAGGAAAAATTCCAAAGTTAGCCTTGGTGAATGACTAGCTATATTAAAAGTAAGTCACGTAAGAGCTAATAATACACTGGTAGTTTGAGCACTGGTGTTGCTTAAAAAGCTTGACACTTACAGCCCTTTCATTTAGAAACATTAGCACCTAAATATTTTACACAGCTGTCAAGAAAGTAGCCTTTTGCTTATCCCATAAGGCTTTCTTTTTTTTTCCAGAAAAGTCATAGCAGTGTGTGCAGTTTTAGGTGTTTTCTTGCTATTATACACTAGTAGTGAATCATGTTGATGAAGTGATGCAGTGTAATCCCCACCTTGTTAATTGTGTGATAATGCAGTCCTTTGACATGATTCTTATCCTTTCAAAAGTTGTCACATTCAAAACAAGCACTTTTTTAAAACAAATAAAAACTCTTAGTTTTGATAAGGCAATAGAAAACACAAAGAATGAGAGAAAAATAGTGAATCAGGCCTTTAAGACATTTAAACTAGAGTAATTTGTATTCCGGGCTTGGTTCCAAAATTAAGATCTTGATGTGTGTGCTTTCTGACTTTGATTTGAAACACAAATTGTAGAAATTGGAAAGGGAAAGGGTGCCTCACATAATTTCGATGCCTGCTTTCTGAGCAAAGCCACTCTGAGAGAGCCTGAGTGCTTTGAACAACCTAGCTTTAATGTTTCCACCCCTGAATCCTTAATCAAATAGATTGCCTCATCAGAAAGATTTTTTGGAACACTAGCTTAAACTTTAATTTTCCTTTAACAAAGCAAACTCCCACATTTTTCCAAAATATGTATCATGCTCTGCATGATAGTTAAACCTTTGGTAAGAATTACATCACTTCTCATTTTATGTTACTATATACAGATATCTTTTCTTATTCATTTCTCTTTTTCATGGTTCGTTCTTTTCTTTCTTTCTTCTTTCTTTCTTTCTTTCTCATTATCTCTTCTTCTGTGTTCTCTTAAATTTCTTTTTGTATATATCCATATTCTAAGAAATCAAACCACCAAATATACAGAAGCAAATGGTTACCTTTCTTCATTTTTATATTCAACAACATTGATTAAAACCCATGGAATACGTCTTACAACTTAAACATCATTTTAAACCTAGTATTTTAAAAATAATTTTATCTGTGTTTGAGGGCTAGAGGACATTTGAATAGCACCTTTAGCATCCTTATCTTTTATTCTGTCTCTGAATTTTCCCTGAACTATAGGGAAAAGATTCTTTTCCAAATATGTTCTGGTTATGACTCAGAAAACAAAATGTGGATTATCCAAATAACATGTTTTTTAGTTTTTTTATTAACTGGAAGGTGTATGTCTTTAACATTATTGTGACTTTAAGAAAACAATTACATTATTCAAATGCTCATGTAATTATTGAAATTAATCTAATATAATATGTTTTTCATTTTTACAGACTCCAAAAATATTTTATTGCATCTATAATATACCATTAATTTTGAGTACCATAATTAATTTAACTTTTATTTATATATTACTAGAAATATTATGGATATATTATAATATAAAGTATTTTATGCATTTTAATTGATTTCATAGGCTAGATCTTCATAAAAGGGATCACTGATTTAAAAGATATTTGACATTTACGATTTTGGTAATTTTTCCAAAATTTAGGTTAAATCATCATGTACCAAGCAAAACACTTGGGTTCTGTCGTTGCTAAATAAAGAACCCAGGAGGGGCTAATTAGCCACTTTATATAAAGTAAAAGTCACACCTCTAGAGCAGCTTTTAGGGTAGCTGTGTTAGCCAAGGAGGTGTTTCTCTTTGGAGGCTTCTGTTAGCTCATAAATCTACAGCTTGAGGAGGAAAGTTTTTCAGCCCTTTTTTCTGGAAGGGTAGAGATATCCCTGAACTATATGTGGTATTGACTTGGGGGTGCAAGCGCAGGGAAGTGCTGGGTAAAGAAGGGCAAGGTCCCTGGTGAAGGCTCCACCCTCGGGCCTGTGCCCACGGACCTAAGTGAGGACAGGCACTTCTGTTTTAGCGCCCAAATGTTGCATTTTCCAAGACCACTCTGGCCTGCCATACTCCCCATCCTTTGCTTATAAAAACTCTGAGACCCTAGAGGGCACACACAGAGGTGGCTGGATGGCAAGAGGAGCACAGTGGCAGAAGAACACACCGACAGATGCCGACAGGCCATGGACTGAGGAATGATAGGCACACCCAGGGAAATTCGGCCAAGGGCAGTCAGAGGACAGCCCAGCTGCTGAATGGCCTGGCTCCAGGGGAAGACCACTTTCCCATTCCATCCCCCTTCTTGCTTTGTATCCATCTTCTGAGAGCCGCTTCCACCACTCAATAAAAAACCTTGCACCCGTCCACCAAGCTCACGTGTGCTCTGATTTTTCGAGTACACTAAGGAGAGAACCAGGGATACAGAAAGCCCTCTGTCCTTGCAGTAAGGCAGAGGGTCTAACTGAGCTGATTAACACAAGCTGCCTGTGGACCGCTAAGCTGAAAGAGCGCAATGTAATACACGCCCACTGGGGCTTCAGGAGCTGTAAACACTCAACCCTGGATGCTGCGCTTCCCATACCTGCCCGTCTGCATGCTCCCCTTAGGAGTTTGAACTGCCGGGCACCAAAGAAGTGAGCCACAACCCCCATCACACGTCCTGTGAGGGGGATAGGAGAAAATGTTTCCCAATTCAGTATGTATAATACAAGCCATATTAAGTAAAAGAATAAAAATATTAGGTTATTTGTTTGGTTTGTAATCCTATAGACTTCGAATGGGGATTTAAATTTAATCTAAAAGAAAATGAAAGTTTTAAATCTGGTGAGATGTGTAATCTGGGAATAATGATAACCTAAAGCCTTGTTGGGTTGAGTTTAGTGCATTTCCTAAATTGGTTGTAGTTCAAATATTGATACATTTGCTATAGGCTTGAATTAAAAAGATTTTAGTCAGGAATTAAAATACTTTTAATTCCTGACTATAAATATGTATTATACACATATCAGGACATTCTAATTAACTACTGCAAAGCAAAGCAGCAGATAATTGAATCAATGTGTGTTGCTTTTTATTAGTTCTATGGTAAAGGAATTACTCAGTTAAGAACTTTGTGTTTTCACAACTGTCACGTAATTGAAGCACATGAAGACCTAAACAGATACCTCTAATGTTCATCACATTATATATGTGTATTGGATAAACTCTAAAAATTGAATAATATGACTAATGTAGTATAAAGAGAAATAAAACATAATCAATGTTTGAAATGTTATAAATATTTTAAATATCATTTAATATATACACAATGATTAAAATTTAATCATTCTATATGTTGGATAATAATATGAGTATAGTATCTCCTTCCATTCCACTACCATTATAACACTTTTCACATATCATGTTGTTATAACTTTCATTTGTCATTGTTGATGCAGAACACAAATTGAGAACATGAAGTATATGTGACTGTTTGTATACAAATATTCAGAGGAATGAATCAGTTATCAAGGAATCATGTAAAACAAATGAACAAAATGATGTTTAAGGACCACAGAAGTTGAGTATGTTTGGTGACCCCTTTGCTTGCTAAATTCAGTTACAAAGCTTTTTCAATATCAAAAAATAAGGTTTTGAGCAGTCAATGGTTTATAAAATATCACCAGAATGCATTCACCTAATCTTAACCTTTAATACTTCTTTTTTAAGTTTAATGCTTTTGGAAGTTTATTTACATACGTATTTTAAGAATCCGGAAAGACACTTGGGAGAATTGTAAATGGAAGAGAGACAAGAACACCCACACTTGATGGCACAGAGTTGTTCATGCTTCTATTTCTCCCTATTAAAATAGGGCTCATCGGCCCGGGGTGGCGGCTCACACCTGTAATCCCAGCACTTTGGGAGGCCAAGGTAGGCAGATCACTTGAGGCAGGAGTTCAAGACCAGCATGGCCAACATGGTGAAATCTTGTCTCTACTAAAAATACAAAAATTAGCCAAGCCTGGTGGTGTGTGCCTGTAATCCCAACTACTTGGGGGGCTGAGGCATGAGAATCCTTTGAACCTAGGAGGCGGAGGCTGCAGTGAGCCAATATTGTGCCACTGCACTCTAGCCTGGACAGCAGAGTGAGACTCTGTCTCAGAAAAATACATAAAAAATAAATAAAAATAAAACAAAATAGGGCTCATTGAGGACAGAAGCTGGGTTTTATCCATGTTTTGCTTTTTCATAACATATCACCTGGTGCATTAAAGCTACTTATTCCTGTTCACTGAGGCAAGACAAGGTGGGAAGGGAGGAAGGGAGGTGGGGAAAAGGATAAAGGACTGAAGAAATGGTTAAGGGCCCTATGTAGTTAAGTCAATTTTATTTTCACAATTTTAAGAAAAAAGCTGATCCCAGCACTTTGGGAGGCCGAGGCGGGCGGATCACGAGGTCAGGAGATCGAGACCATCCCAGCTAAAAACGGTGAAACCCCGTCTCTACTAAAAATACAAAAAATTAGCCGGGCGTAGTGGCGGGCGCCTGTAGTCCCGGCTACTTGGGAGGCTGAGGCAGGAGAATGGCGTGAACCCGGGAGGCGGAGCTTGCAGTGAGCCGAGATCGCGCCACTGCACTCCAGCCAGGGCGACAGAGCGAGACTCCGTCTCAAAAAAAAAAAAAAAAAAAAAAAAAAGAAAAAAGCTGTTAAATAAAATTAGAATATCTACCAGGTGAGATAATTCTTAAACGATAATTTGTAGCCCTAACTTTCACACACAGTTTTCCAAAGACTAACTTTATCTTGGGTTTAAAGTTACTTCAAATTTCCCAAAGCTATCATACCACTATTGAGTAAAATATGAGGAAGACAAAATTCCGTTTAAATTATCCTTATTCTTTTAACAAATATAGTTTAATTCTAAGTGAATTAAAGTTCTGATGGCCTGCAAATTTATCAATCTGCTTCTGGTAGTTATAATCGGGTAAAAATAACCTTCTTTTTTCTATACCGTTTAGTGCCTGCCCTGGGATTGAATTAAAGATGAGTCACTTGTCTGCTTCAACCTTCTCCAAATGACCCTATGTATCCTTCAATGGAAATCTTCCCAAGAGGTCTCAGTTTTCTCTGTCATTACGTTTATGGAAAACCTCGATGTAAATAATTTGGGTGAAAATAATAAAGAGATCATTTTCTTTATAGCATAGTAATTATAAAATACAGATGATTAATGGAAGGGATAATTCACATGACACTTGGTCTTAATTTTGCATTAAGCACAGAAAAAAAAATGGTTTCACAAAGAGAAAAATACCCTCAGGTGATATCTCTAATCTCATTTAGTTATTCAATAGCTGCTGTTGTTAGTAAAAAGAAAAACTGACAGAGAGTATTTGAGGGCCAAGATTGTCCCAAAATGTGTTAAAAACCCCTCTACTCAAAATAGGTAAGATTGTTTATCCTATTGAGGAATTGCAAAAAATATAAATAATGTCAACTTTTTCCCTAAGGGAAAATGTCAAAGGCATTGTTTCTTTATCTAGGTTATTGACAATCCAGTTGGAATGATAGATCACACACATGCACATGGACACAGAAACTTTTTACACTGATACAGCTTCTCAGGGGCATAAGCATTGTAATGTTAGAATTGAGATGCGGAAAGGGGAGGGAAAGCTGTAAATGAAAATTCTTTCATCCACACCAGCTTCTCAGAGTTCTTGAAATTAAGACTGGAGAGAAAAGTCAGATTACAGTAGCCAAGGATACTTTTGATGTGGGAAGGAGGAGGAATACAGAGTCCTTGGTGGCTCTACTCCACAAGTCAGCATTGTACTATGTGATGACTTATACAGAATTCGTTTATCTTACTGTATTATAAAATTTTATTTTAAGTTCTGGGGTACATGTGTGGGATGTGCAGGTTTGTTACATACATAAATTTGTCCCATGGTGGTTTGCCGCACCTATCAAACCATCACCTAGGTATTAAGCCCTGCATGCATTAGCTATTTTTCCTGATGCTCTCTCTCCACCACCCCCACAACCAGCCCCACACACTCCCCCACTACCGACAGGCCAGTGTGTGTTGTTCCCCTCCCTGTGTCTATGTGTTCTCATTGTTCAGCTCCCACTTATGAGTGAGAACATGCAGCATTTGGTTTTCTTTCCCTGTGTTGGTTTGCTGAGGATGATGGCTCTCAGCTTCATCCATGTCTCTGCAAAGGACATGATCTCATTCCTTTTTATGGCTGAGTAGTATTCCATGGTGTATATGTGCCACATTTTCTTTATCCAGTCTATCATTGATGGGCATTTGGGTTGATTCCATGTCTTTACTATTGTGAATAGTTCTGCAATGAACATATGCATGCCTGTATCTTTATAATAAAAAGATTTATATTTCTTTGGGTAAATACCCAGTAACTGGATTGCTGGGTCAAATGGTATTTCTGGTTCTAGGTCTTTGAGAAATCGCCACACTGTCTTCTACAATGGTTGAACTAATTTACATTCCCAGCAACAATGTAAAAGCATTTATATCTCTCTGCATCTTTACCAGCATCTGTTGTTTCTTGACTTTTTAATAATTGCCATTCTCATTGGCGTGAAATGATATCTCATTGTGGTTTTGATTTGCATTTCTCTAATGATCAGTGATGCTGAGCTTTATTTCATACATTTGTTGGCTGCTAAATGTCTTCTTTTGAGAAGTATCTGTTCATGAATTTTGCCCACTTTTTAATGGAGTTATCTGTTTTTTTTCTTGTACATTTGTTTAAGTTTCTTACAGGCTCGATATTAGATCTTTGTCACATTGATGGGTTGCAAAAATTTTCTCCCATTCTGTAGGTTGTCTGTTCACTCTTATAATAGTTTCTTCTGCTGTGCAGAAGCTCTTTAGTTTAATTAGAGCCCACTTGTCAGTTTTTTTGTTGCAATTGCTTTTGACATTTTCATAATGAAATCTTTGCCCAGGCCTAGGTCTTGAATGGCATTGCCTAGATTTTCTTCTAGAGTTTTTATAGTCTTGGATTTTACATTTAAGCCTTTAATCCATCAAGAGTTAATATCTTACTGTATTTAATTTCAGTTGTTTATATTTTACTGAGAAAAAACATAAACGACCTCTAGGCAGATTTTTTATGTAAACATCAGTTGTTAGTAAGTATATTTTACAAAAGGAGAAAGGGACTTTTTTTCTAATTAGTTTAAAATAAATTAAATAACTCAAATTATGCCTCCTGTGTTACAGTGAGTGCTTTAAAAAAGGTCTAGGTGTGCATTATTTTACTCAAAATACTTGGGAAAACTTATGTCACAGCCAAGAAGTTTGAAGCATATTCAACACATTGAACACTAGAGGTTTGCAGACTCCACTTACTCACTTATTGGGGTTGACTTTCCTTCTAAAATGACTGTGTTTTGTATACTAATGAATGCATTAATCAGAACATATTTGCATATAACATCAATAAGCAATTTTTTTTTTTTTTTGAGACAGGTTCTCACTCTTTCACCCAGGTTAGAGTGTAGTAGTGTGCTCATAGCTCACTGTCATACTGAAGTCCTGGACTCCTGGGCTCAAGTAGTCCTCCTGTCTCAGCCTCCCAAGTAGTTGAGACTACAGGCATGAGCTAGCATGCCTGGCTAATTAAATTTTTTTTTAGAAATGTCTTGCTGTGTTGCCCAGGCTAGTCTTGAACTCTTGGCCTTGGGTGATCCACCTGCCTCGGACTCCCAAAGCATTAGTATTACAGGTGTGAGCCACAGTGCCCAGCCATAATAAACAAAAAACTAAATGTCAACAAATACACAAATCAGAAATAACCATCAAATATCTCATCAAACAAAGGAATTATGCAGGTAATATAACTGCAGGGTTATCTAGGTCATCTAATCATAGCCCATGTTTTCCTGCTTCTTGGTCTATGATATTGTTTATTTCTTTATGGAGTAATTGAAATAATTTGAATTGTTTTACTTAGTGCTTCTCTATAGAGATAGTATTGCATTTCAAGCAGATTTTACTTTAAGAAAAAATTGTGAGCTGAATATCTCATTTTATTTGTACTTAATAGCTTTCATCTTATTGCATGTAGTTATGCTTTCTTTATTGTTTTTGATGATTTTCACTCCAGATTTACCTGCATGGTGGGGTCCACAAGGAACAGTTTCTTGTGAATTACACAAATATTAATTGATTTCTGTTCGAATGCCTCAGGTATGTGTTGTCAAAAAGTGAAACATATTTTCATATTTTAATGAATATAAACAGTAGATAACATATCCATTGTGGAACATTAATAAAAGCAATTTTTGATACTTCTTAAATTAAGAGGAAAAAATAAAAATTCAAATAACCTAATTTTCTTTCATGGGGGATATGGACATAAAAATCAGCTTGTTTTTGCATTTTGGAAAAACACTGAAGAATGGATTATAAGAGAATCCTGCATTGTATATATTATGTAACAGTAGATTACATCTCTTTTCTTTTTCTATGCCACTCTCACCGTTCAGAAGAGTTTGTTTATGGGAGGCCTCATTAATGGTTCTTTACAGCTGACCCCTGCTGTAGAGGGTATTACCACTCCACAGGTTTCTATCACACAATTTTCTGGGTATGTCAAAAGCATATGTCAGAGCAGAAAGGGCAGAGATAAACCTTAGGGATTCTAAAGAGTGACACCTGGCTGGAATTCAATTTGTCAGGAAATGTAAAGCTCTGTTGCAGTGCACCAAGAAGCTTGGGTTAGCTTAAAATGACTCATTAGCCAGAGTTTAAAATTAACACTAAGGACCCTCTGTGACAGTGTTTAAACTCTGTACAAACATAATACTGAAATATTTAAACCCAGTGCAAATTATGTTTTGATTCAAGACAATGAATATGTTAATTAAACTGGCACTGAAAATGTAAATATTTCAGCTAGTTTCACATTAACTTTAAAACCCTGGGAATTATATTGTACATTTCTAATCTTTCATAATGATGGAATTCAAAATGTTATTGTTGTGTTTATAAAGGAGTCCATTTTTAGGCAGCATATTCATTATGAGACAATAGTTACACATCTAATTCCACAGTAGGGAATGGATTCAAAGGTTCAATATTGTATACAATGATAATAATAGATTTTATTAAAAACGTCAATGTGACATAATATGGGATTCTGAAATCTAAAGTCATACAAAAAAGAAAGTATCACAAGTATGTGATATTTTAAATTATACTTTAGCAGATACTGTAGGCGACTTATTTTGATAATAAAGTAAATTGCCATTCTCATTAAACTAAAAGCAGTGTTCCTTTTAGGGGAAAAATGTTATGCTTTATCTAAGAAGGAACAATAAACAAAAACAAAAACAAAACACATTGATTTTCTGAAGTATGTGTGTAAATGTGTTTAAATTACTGATAGATCCACATTTCCTTGAAAATCCACTTGATTTTATCTCTCAGTTTTGCAATTAAAGAAAATAGATAAAAATGAACAGAAAAATAAACATACACTCAAGATAATCCTATTTTGTGAAGGTGGTTGTGGGATAAGGAAGAAAAAAGGAGATGATTAATAAATATAAATGCTGCAGATACAAACTGCCTCACTTCCAAAATAGCAATTCCAATTAAATATTTTTAAATATCAACAGATTCCACCAGCATTTAAGCCTATTTTTAAAATTCAACAAAAGATAACTAAACTTCAAATTACAGAATTTTTAATAAATTTGGTGGCATTGATTTTCTAATATTCAGTAAGAGATACCAAGTTATTATATTTTTTATACCAAATTGTTAAGCAAAGTGATGTCAACATTAGATCAAGAAAAGATGAAAGTACTTTACGTAAAATGGTAAGAATTATTTGTTTTTTGGCAAATAGTTCCTTCCATTCCATTGGTTGCCTTTTCACTCTGTTGATGGGTTCTTTCACTGTGCAGAAGTTTTTTAGCTTGATCTCGTCCCACTTGTCTACATTTGCTTTTATTGCTTGTGCTTTTGATGTTGTATCCATGAAATCATTTCAAAGACCAATGTCATGGAGCTTTCCCTTTGTTTCTTTCTACGAGTTTTCTAGTTTCAGCTCTTATATTTAATTGTTTTATTCATTTGAGTTGATTTTTGCATACAGTAGAAGGGTCTAATTTCTACCCTTCTCCTATTGTATACTCTTGTGGGAGGTATCCTCTAATATAACCCCCAATAATCTCTGCCTACTTGTAATCACGCCTTTGTGTTTCCTGCCCTTGAGTATGACCTAGGCCTACTGATAAAATAAAGCAAAACTGATGAGGTAGCTTTTCTAAGATCGGGTTATAAAAAGAGACTTGACTTTAGGCTTTGATACCCCCTCCTGTTCACTTAGAAGGAAGTCAGCTGCCAAGTTTTAATCTATGCTGTAGAGAGGCCTTCATGACAAGGAATTAAGACAGACCTTCAACAAACCACCAGCAAGGCAAATCCTCTTCCAGTCAAGTCTTCAAATGAGATGACAGCCCCAACCTACACCATGATTAGCAGCCTTCTTAGAGACCTCAAGATAAGTCAGACTTGAATTCTTTAATCATTAAAATTGTGACAAAAATGAATACGCATTATTTTAAGCCCCTAAGTTTTGGGATTAATTTCTTACATATGAATAGATACCTAAAACAACCTTGTTTACCCTGATGTTTCATACAGAACTTGTCAATCAGTGAACAAAGATTACAGAGTCCACAATGGGTGTTAAAAGGAAATTTGAGAGTTAATTTCTGCCATTGAGTTAACTAACTGAGATCTGTTATTTAATCTGTTGCTGCTGATTATTGGTGACCATGGGAAGCTGGTGCTAGAGACACATATAAATCATAATATGTGTCATTTTATGTTTTACTCTAATTGTCAAAAACTTAATATGGCATTTTAAGATCCTTATAGTAGACACAGGTTAATTTTATTTTTTAGTATACAATACACCATCTGAAAATCAGCCCTAGGCACACAAATACTCTGAAAATCAGAACTGTATTTCTTTTTTTCCTATAGTTGACTTGCAAGCTTCCCCTGTTCCCAAACTGATAAAGATCAAATAGATATAAATATAGGTATAGATATAAAATCTTTTACTTTCATATTTAACAAGTGTTTACTGAATGCCTCAAATATACCTGCTATCTACTGACTGACAAACATAGAGTCAAAGAAGATTCTTTAGAACTTCTCAGGTGCCACAAGGTTTCACTGGAAAGAAGAGGTCTGGGAAGGTTAGGAAGGGGGACTGTTGTGGCAAAAACTCCCACTGCTTTGAAAACAGGATTTGAAAATTGTGGGCATGGTCACATTCACAAACACATACAAACATACAAACATGTCCCTCAATCCTAGTTAGAAATGACTAGGAAAATGTTAGTCCTGATCACGATCTGCTTCCATACCATCCAGCCATTTATTTATCTCTGTATCAAATCAAGATAAACTGAAGTGGCCCTGGGGCTTAAGTGTTTTCACTTATGTGTGATAACATATCAAGTGCCCCATAAGAGGACAGAGAGATTGCTCACTCTCTTTTTATCATGTGAAGATACAATGAGAAATTGGCAGTCTGCAGCCTGGAAAAGGGCCCTCACCAGAACAGAGCCATGCTGGCACACTGATCTTGAACTTCCATTATTCAGAACTGTGAGAAATGAATTTCTGTTTGTTTATAAGCCATGAAGTCTGTGGTACTTTTGTTACAGCAGAACAAGCTAATATACTACAGTATTTAAAACTCCTTGCACAAGACTGAGATTCTCTTTCTTGTTGTCATATGCCATCCTATAAAATGTATTTCCAGTGATTTCACTGAAGGTTAAAATAACTTATCTTACTACAGCGATAGGGTTTAATCCTACCCTATTTAATCATTAATTCATGTAGACTGTATTTCCTAAGATTCCATAAAATGTATGCAGGGCAACATAACTCGTAATTCTTAGTAAAATGTGTTTTTATAATGTAAAAGAATCAATCAGAAAGACATAAATTTTTAAATGTATATGCACCAGACAGCAGAGCCCAAAAATACGTACAGCAAAAACTTACAGAACTAAAAAAGTAGACAAATCCATAATTTGTCTCCACCTCCCCCTTTTGGCAATTGTTATAATTATTGAACAGAAAATCAGCAAGGATATGGAAGAAATTAATTACACAAACAACCACCAGAATCTAACTGACATATAGAACACTCCAGGCAACACCGGCGAATAAAGAATTTTTTATCAAGCACCTACAGGATATTCACCAAGGTGGACCGTATCAGGGCCATAAAACAAACCTGAGAAAACATAAAGAACCAAAATTACGTAAGGCATATTCTCTGGCCATAATGGAATCAAGCTAGAAACAATTAAAAGACAAGAAGGAAGTCTCCAAACACATGAAAATGAACAAAACGCTTCTAAATAACTCATGAATGCAAGAAAAAGTGTCAAAATAAGTTTCAAAAACATAATTGAATGAAAACAAAAATAGAACATATCAAAATATGTCGAATACAGGTAACATAGTACTAAGAGGAACATTTTAAATATTTGCATTCGAGACAAAGAAAGGTCTTAAATTAATAACTTATGTTCAAACTTCAGGAGAAAGAAAGAAGCACAAAATAAAGCAAGCTGAATGAAGGAAATTATAATTGTGAAAATCAATAAAAATGACCAGAGAAAAACAATAAAAAGATCAATGAAACTAAAAGCTAGTTCTTCACAAAACCAATAAAATTGACAAATGTCAGGAAGATAGAGGTAAAAAGAGAGAAGACTCAAGTTACCAATAGTGGGAATGTAACCAGGAATATCCATTAGAGACTCTGCAGACATTAAAAGGATAATGAGAGATTACTTTAAGTTGCCTTATACCATAAATCATACAATTTAGAAGAAATGGTCTTTGGATCACACACT
Organism: Homo sapiens; assembly: GCF_000001405.40. NCBI lineage: Eukaryota > Metazoa > Chordata > Mammalia > Primates > Hominidae > Homo > Homo sapiens. Next base: position 136,878,048 of record NC_000004.12, read on the forward strand.
ACTAAGACTTAGCAAGATAAAACAGATACTCTGAATAGTCTTACAACGACTTAAAAATGGAATTTTTAAAAATTAAACTCCTCCCTCAGAAAACTCTAGACAAGATGATTTCACTGGAGAATTCTATCAAATAATTAACATAATTTTAGACAATGTCTTCTAGAAAATAGACAATGAGAAACACTTTCTAACTCATTTTATGAGGCCAGTATTAGCCCGATAACAAAGGTAGACAGTACAAAAATTAAATTATAGATGAATAGCTCTTATGATCTTAGGAAAAAATAATTCTAAACAGAATGTTATAAAATTTAATCCAGTAATTTATGAAAAAATTATATCCCAATATCAAATGGGATTTATTCTAGGTGTATAAGGCTGGTTTAATTTTAAAAAGTAATACACCACATCAACTCTTTAAGAGAAAAGCTGTATAATCACAACAACTGATACATAAAAAGCATTTGGCAAAATCTAGCACCCATTTTTAATAGAAAATCAAAGCAAATAAATAAGAACAGAATTTCTTATGTTTGTATTTTCCCCAAATTCGTATTTTGAAGTCCTAACTCCCAGTACCTCAGAATATGACTTTATTTGGAAACAGGGTATTTAAATGAGTAAATTTAAATGAGGTCACTGGGGTAAGCCCTAAGGCAATATGACTAGGGTCATTATAAGAAGAGAAGACAAGTGCACAGGCACACACAGAGGAAAGATCACATGAAGACATAGAGAAAAGACAGCCGTCTACAAGCCAAGGAGAAAGACTTCAGAAAAAGAGACCTACAGACCCTTTATCTTGAGCTTCTAGCCTCCAGAACTGTAAGAACATAAATTTCTGTTGTTTATACCATCCAGACTGTGGTGCTTTGTTATGACAGTCCTGGCAAATTAATAAACTTCCTCAATTTGATTAAGGAACAGCTACAAAGAATCTACAGGTAACATCATAGTTAACATTGAAAAGCTAAATGCTTTTTCACTAAATTTATGAGCAAAGCAAGGATGTTGACTTTCACCACTCTCTTATTAAACGTAGTGCTGGAAGTTCTAACCAGCACCATAAAGCAAGAAAATAAAAAAAGGGTTTACTGATTGATAAGAAAGAAATTCTACAAAAAAAGTCTTAGAACTAAGAAGTGAGTTTGGCAAGGCTGAGTGATATATCAATATATGAAAATAAATAACATTTCTATACACTAAAAATAAATATGTGAGGGCTGAAATTAAAAAAAACACTGAAAATTGCTTTAAGGAAAGTGAAACATTCAGATAGAAACCTAACAAAATATCTATAGGATTTATACTCTGAAAATTACAAAATTCTGATGAAAGAAATCAAAGAAGATCCAAATAAATGTAGAGACAGTCCACATTTGTAAATTTGAAGACTAACAGTAAAGGTGTTAAACCATTCCAAATTCACCTATAGATTAAATGCAATTCCTTTCAAATTCCTAGTAAGTAGTTAAGTAGCCTAGAAAACTTTATCCTGAGATTTACATGGGAAGACAAAAAACCTAGAAAGGCTAAAACATATTTTTATATATGTGAACTAAATGAGAGGAATAACTGTTATCTGATAATAGGTCCTATTGGAATCTGAATGAAGACTGTGGTATTAGTGGAAAGAGGATCACATAGATCAATGAAACAGGATAGAGAGAACTGGAATAAAAACCAACAAATATGTGCCTAGCGGAGGTGAACAAAAATGGAAAGGCAATTCAGTGGGAGAGGTATAGTCTTTTCAACGAACGGTGTTAAAGCATTTGAAGATTCACAGGCAAAAAAACAAAAAAAACAAAAAAAAACCTTGAACCTAAATATCACACATTATTACAAAACTCGACTAAAATGAATTATGAATTCAAATTGAAAACCTGAAATTGTAAAATGTTTACAAAAATGCATAGGAGAAACTCTTTGGGACTTAGAGATAGGTGAAAAGGTCTTAGACTTGTCTAAGTCTGTAAAAGAAAAATTTGATAATTAGATTTCACAAGAATTAAAAACTTTTTCTCTGTGAATGACCCTGTGGAGAGGGTAAAAATGAGCTACGGACAGAAGAAAACAAAACAGAAACACCTCGATAGCCACATATCCAAAATAAGAATTGTATTTAGAATATGTAAAGATATCTAGTCAACAAAAACAACAAAATGATTCAATGAGAAAACAGGCAAAAGATAAAACAGATATTTTAACTGAAGGGGGTATAGAGATAGCAGATAAACACATGAAAATATATGAACATTGTTACTCATCAGAAAAATGCAAATTAAAATGATACTAATATTTACTTCACACCTATTAAAATGGTTGAAATATAAAATAGTGATTGCATCAGATGCTATCTAGGATGTGGAAGGCCTAGAGCTGTGATACACTGTTGGTTGGAGTGTAAAGTAAAGACAGCCATTCCCAAAATTATATGTAACAGTTAAAAAATGTCCACATACCATATGACAAATCAATTGTATTCTTGATCATTCTTCCAAGAGAAATGAAAACATGCTCACCTGAAAATCTGTACACCAATGTTCACTGCAGCTTTAAGTTTAATACTCCAAATACAGAAACAACAAATATGTCATTCAATGGATAAATACGTTAAATACACTGTAGTCCATCCATACTACGGAATATTAGTCTCAAAAAGGAAAATTTGAATGGATTTTAAGGAAACTATTCTGAGCGAAAAAATAGTCTCCAAAGGTTGTATATGATTGCATTTATATAACAATCTTAAAATTATAGAGATAGAGAAGAGATTAGTGATTGTCAAGTGTTAGAGGCAGAGTAAGGGAGGAGGATAGCTGTCACTATAAAAGAGTAACAAGCAGAAGCCCTGTGATAGAACTATCCTGTGTCTTGACTGTGGTGATGGTCACACAAATGTAAGATAAAATGTTTTAGCACTAAATATACACACTGGTGAATTCTGAATAAGCTTTAGTGACTGTAGCCATGCCAATTTCCTGCTTGTGATATTACTGTGTACTATAGTTATACAAGATGTCACAATGGGGAAAACTGGGTGAACTGGGTGATGGTTATACAGAATTTCTCTAACTTACTTCTTCAAACTACATGTTAATTATAATTACCTAAAATAAAAAGTAAAATAGTATCTTTAACAATAATTAGAACTTAGCGAGCATAAACATAACAGCTGTTTACCACACAAGTGCAGTGCTAAGCTCTTAAAAATATCATAATTTTTTATTGTTGCAAGAGCTGTATGACACAGGCACATGCTATCAAAATCTAATTTACAAATAAAAACATTGGTGTTTTGAAAGATAATAAAATTTGCCTAAGAGGATATAGCTTAAGAGTAAGAAAGGAGGAATGTAAACTCATGTTAAGAGGACAGAGAGGTCCTTGACTATAACACCTTTCTGTTTTTTTTAAAAAAGCAAGTTTATTATCTTATATGTCCTTTATATTTATACTTGGCATAATTGTGGCACTAACTCTATAAATATTTATAAGTAAGTGAATGCAGTCATTAAACCATCAAATTTTATTCTCTGAAAGCATGGACGTAATGGTGTAAGGGGAAGAATAAACTCTCAATTCCGTCAAGTCATGTAATTTGGAAAACTAAATGCAAATCTCAGCTTCAGTTTCATGATTTCCTGACTAGAGAAATGGATGCTTCATATATCTTTTAAATTCTATCTCTCAAATATCAGATGTCTCAAGCAAGTTTTTGGCATCACAGTTAATTTATGATTGACATTTTTAATGAGTGTCTGAAATGCCAATATTTTGTGTTGTTGATAAAACGATCCATATGTTTTACATTTCACACACTCAGGCAGCTGAATTGACATTCTGTTGTGAAATGTTAAGTTCCTGATATGATTTCACATCCAGGCAGTAGGCTAACCCATTTCCATAAGGAACTTAGAATATGTTCAAGATTTCATTCCTGTTTTCATCTGAGACTTGGCGTTTTTAAGTACCTAGAATGTGCAAAGACAAATGCTGCAAATAGGTTGATCTTTATCAAGAATTGCAAATGCTATGTAGAAGAATTAACATTACTTGATAGTACGGGAGACTGAGCCAGTAATATCATATTGGAGAGCTTAGGAGATCTTCAGTCACTGGCACTTTAATAGGGACTTGTTGCTTGAGTGTAAGCTTTCCAGGCAAGAACTGTCAGCTTCAGGAGGGCAGGAAGTCGGTGTGTTTCCTTCATCAAACTATTTCGAACATTTAAAACAGTGCTTGGCATATAGTGAGAGGCACTTTATCAACAAAGCAGTTGAAAAATAATCTGGCAGATTTAATAGGCAAGCACATCTAAATTTTTTTATCTAATTATCATATGCCAATCCCTATTGCTGTGTTTATTTGAACTGTATCCCAATTAGCTTGGAATTAATATTCATACATTGTCTTCTCTCATTCTTAAACTTTGACTCAAATGCCTGAATATAGTATTTCAGATTTTTTTTCAACTTCCTTTTCAAACTCTCTTAATAATACCATAACTCCATTTCCTAGAATTTTCTAATTTATCTTTTGCTTTAAACATAGCAGAAGATAAAAAAATAATTTTTCTCAAGATGTCTTTTAAGATTGAGAGCACAAAAAATCACCTGTGCTTCTCCCATTCAAAATTTAATTCTATATTTTTCCTTCTTTAGAATAGCACAGATTAACACATTTCCCCCTTAGTAATCAACTTAAATTTGAAAAAAGATAATTTGCCAAAATTTAACACCGGAACATATTTTTTTTAAAACACACACAAAAAATAATTTTTTAAAATAGAAACACTATTTTCAAATTTGAAAAGGTATCTCTTACAGGAAACTCTTCCTGTCATATAGGAAATTAGCACTAATTTCCTATATGACAGGTCTTTCTGTCCTGCAAATGGACCAGACACAAATCAATAATGTCCATTAGTGGCATTGTCTTCCAAGTTTTGCTATACATGATCCATCGCTTTTGTCACACTTTTTGTTTTTCTATATCAGGATGGAAATGTCATTGCAAATAATTCATTGTCTCACTTTCCGATATTAAAAGCTGAATCAAAGGATTTCATTCATTCATACTCATTTGCCTAAAATATGCTGATTTAGATAATTAGACTATAACAATAATGTAGACAATTATGGTTTCTAACAAAAAGGATTTAATGGTGTCCTTCTTGATCTGTAAGAGTTCGTAGCTATGGCAAACTTTCTTTCTTTCTTTCTTTTTTTTTTTTTGAGACGTAGTCTTGCTCTGTTGCCCAGTCTGGAGTGCAGTGGTGCCATCTTGGCTCAATGCAACCTCTGCCTCCTGAGTTCAAGCGATTCTCCTGCCTCAGTCTCCCAAGTAACTTAGATTACAGGTGTGCACCACCACACCTGGCTAATCTTTAATATTTATATTTTTAGTAGAGACGGGGTTTCACTATGTCAGCCCAGCTGGTCTCAAACTCCTGACCTTTGGTGATCCACCAGCTTTGGCCTCCCAAAGTGCTGGAATTACAGGCATGAGCTACTGTGCCCGGCCCAGCTTTGTTTCTATTGTGCTCATCATGACTAGTATCAAAAACCTTTAACATTAAGAGTCATTTTGGAGAAACTTTCCAGTAGCTTTATGGTTTTAATTCAATCCTTCCAGAAGTTTAGGTCAGAAGTTTCTTTGCCTCAGCTCTCATTGTTATATCTATCCATCTGCACACATGTAATTGGATACCAAACACATATTACAAATCATTGTAATTATACATTTAAGAAGATTTCTTGAAATTTTTCTCCTCCTCTTTTTCCTCTAAGATCCCATCATTTTTTGCATGAATTCTTACATTCCAACTATTCCTTATTTCTGTTTTATCTCTGCAATCATGCTTTACATTGCTATTAAAATTATCCAAGTTAAACACACATTTCTCAATGGTCACTTATTGTCTATAATATGATGTTCAAAATTCTTATAATGGCTAAGATTAATTTAGCATCTTGTCATAAACCACTTTTTCAGGCTTGTTTCTTCCATCCACCATCCATACCACACTACCCCAGACTACATACAAAACTCTTGGTGGCTCACGCCTATAATCCCAGCACTTCGGGAGGCCGAGGCGGGTGGATCACGAGGTCAGGAGATCGAGACCATCCTGGCTAAGATGGTGAAACCCCATCTCTACTTAAAAAAATACAAAAAAAAATTAGCCTGGCGTGGTGGCAGGCGCCTGTAGTCCCAGCTACTCGGGAGGCTGAGGCAGGAGAATGGAGTGAACCCGGGAGGCAGAGCTTGCAGTGAGCCCAGATTGCGCCATCGCACTCCAGCCTGGGCGACAGGGCAAGACTCCGTCTCAAAAAAAATAAAAAATAAAAATAAAATAAAATAAAATAAAAACTCTTAAGTTCATTTTGCATTTTCATATCTTAGGCAAATTTCTCAGGTGAGTCCTTCTTTATGGGCACATTCTAGCCTAACCACCTTCCTTACTCTGCCAGCCACTTATTTTCCAGTATCTATTTCCATAAAGAAAAAAAGACAGAATGCTAAGAGAGGAAGGGAGGAAGGGAAGAAAAAATAAAGAGTTTTGAGTACAGAAAATATTATTGATAGGTTCTAGGCATAGTTCTAATGATGAGATAACTCCTATAAAATGACATTTTTGTATGGTACTTTTCCTTTTTTGTATATGATTTATTCATCAATCTATCTTTCTGCTTTATGTAATTAGATATGTACTATGTATTTACAATTAATAAGGAATTAAATATTCTCTATGTATTTGCTTCTCTACCTTTTTAAAAAAAATGTAAAAAAAAAATGGAGGAAAGGTAAAAGAATGTTAATTCACTTGTCCAGTAAAAATTTTAAGCAAAAATTTAGGAAGTTCATTCTTTTACCTTTTAACATTTGTTTTTATTGATTATAAAATAACTACACTGAAAATACAGAAAAAAATCAATCTGTATATGTATCTCTCTCTCTATCTAATCTACCTCATCTATCTACCTACCCATTCTCTAAAAGCCATGCTATAAGCCAGAGAAATTAACTGTTAAAGTTTTGCTATATTTCATTCATATATTTTTATTTAAAAAATAATTGGAAGCATATTAATACAATATCCTGCAAGCTTCTTTCTTTCCTAACAATAAATCCTATATACGCTCCCAAAAACATTAAATATCCTTAGGAAACATGATTTTTTAATGAATAGAAAGTTTCCATTAAATAAGCATACTGGACTTATTGAATCAAATTTTATTAATAAATATAGATTATTTTCACCTTTTACTTACTAGAATTAAAAAAATATATATTTACATTATCTATAAAAATGATAAAGTAGTACCTAAAAGTTTTACAAACACTGCAAGCTGAAGTTTTACAAAATATTATTTTAAAATGTCTATAATATTAAATAATGAAATAAATGCAAATTAATAAGCAGTACAGTTTTTTTGTGTGAACCAGAATTTTTTATTGATTTCCATTCAATTTTACAATTGTAAACATAAATATGTATTATAAAGTGCCTTTATATAATACTTTAATGAAGTTACTGTACATCATTTTGTCCACTTACACAGGATAATTTGTTGGACTCTTTTTTATCAATTAGAGATGTTAACATTTGGAATGAAATATATAGTTTGTGTATCTTTTTCTCAGCTGATAATATTAATTTAAATTTAATTTAGTTTTAACACAATTCTCATTGAACCTAACATCAATTATATCTCAGATATACTTTATGATTTTTCTCCTTAGATTTTTTTCTTAGAATGATATTTCTTGCTTTTTGACAGGACATTCAGTTTTTAAATTATTCTTTTAAGTTTTAATTTAATTCTATTTAAGAATATTTTAATTTTTCACAATACATTCCCATTAAGAAATTATTGTAAGCTTCACTTCTGAGAAGAGGAATGAATATGTTAATATTAATCGTACTTAGGTTATGTCATTATATTTCCATTAACTTGTATATTTCACTCGGTTTTTAATACTTTGAGTACCACGCTTTCTAGGACTTATGATTTTTCTTGTTCAGTGTGAATGGTCATCTTTTAAATTAATTTTTTTCTTTGCTAGTTATTGGAAAAATATAAGATATTTTTACTAGTAGTGATTTTTAGAGCTCATACTTTTAGAATAAACTTTTATATTCTGGAATCATTTTAGATTACAGAAGTTTAAAGATAGTCCCGTTTTCTCTATTGTCAGCATCTTACATTATTACCAAGTTACATTTTTTACAACTAAGAAGACAAATTGGTGCATTACTATTAACCCAGCTCCAGATTTTATTTGTATTTTATTTTTCCACTAATGTCCTTTTGTTTCAGGATACCACATTGCATTTAGTTGTTGTGTATCCTTAGTTGCCTCTGGTTTATGACAGTTTATTTTCTTGTTTATCATGGTCTTGACACTTTTGAGGAGTATTGGTCAGGTATTTTGTAAAATGTGTCTTAGTTTGAGATTCTCATATTTCTTTTCTCACGGTTAGACCAGGGGTATAATTTTGGGGAGGAATACCACAGAGGTGAAGTACCTTTCTTATCATCTCATATCAGCAGTGCAAGCTATCAGCATGACTTATCATTGGTAACATTCACTTGATCATTTTGTTAAAAGTTTTGTTTGCCAGGATTGTCCACTGTGAAGTTACCCATTTTTACCTCTTTCCCTACTATATTCCTTAGAAGCAAGTCTAAGTGCAGCCTACACTCAAGGGGGAATGGGTGAAAATTAATCTTTATCTCCCAGAGAGGCATTTATCAATATAAATTATTTGCAATTCTTGGAAGAACGAATTTCTCGTCTTCCTATTATTTATTTAGCCAATCAATTATTTATGTTAATTATGAACTCAAAGTTTACAATTAAGTATTCAAAGTACATTGTACTTGGTCATTGTGGTGATTTTACATGTAAAAAATATAGCTAATCTATTTCTCTGTCAATGTCAAGAATTAAACAATATTTCTTAATTCTATCCTCACTAATTCCAGGTCTCAGATACAGATTATTTTGAAACTCTTATTTTGCAATGTATTTTTTTCCATTTCTTCTTTCCTTAGTCAATAGGAATTGCATTCTACACTTACTGAGAGAAAAATCTTTTGAGTTACCCCTGACTCCTCTCCCATTCTCACCCCACATCAAATCAGTCACTAATTCAACACTTTCTTCAAATATATACAGAATCTAAACACTTCATACACACTTCATCTCAATCACCCATGATCACACCACTGCACTTCAGCCTTCATAATAGAGACCCTAAAACAAACAAACAAACAAAACAAAACAAAAGGCCAATTGGCTAAATGGCAGCAACAATGATAATTCTTCTAATGTTATGTCATGTCATAGCACTTTTCACCTAATAATGGCATAAGCCAAGTCCCAGTAAACATTTTTGGTCAAAGGCAAGTAAATAAACACTAGTTGCAGCTCTGCAGGCAGTAAACACCATGCACAACTATCCAGCTCTGCTGTTGTTGGCTGAAAGCATTCATATACAATGTGAATAATTGAGTTGTGTGTTTGTGTTCCCATAACACTTTCATTACAAAAATACTTGTTGAGAAGAATTTAATCAATAGGCATAATTTGCCAACTCCTGGCCTAAATAATCAGTTTCTTACTTTGACCTTCTTTCCTAACTCACTTCCTTCTTTTCCTTGAAACCAGCCAGGCAGTCTTCAACATCAAGTTCCTTGCTCTTTGCTGTTCCTTCTTTCTGGGAAGATCATCTCCAGGCTCACTCCATCACTTCCGTCAATTAAAAGGTCTCCTTAACACAAATAAGGCCTTTCATAATTGCCCATACTCTTTCTTCCCTTTTTCTGCTTTATTTTTCTTCGTGGCATTTATCACTGCCTGATGTATTTTTTTTATTATGGCTCCATTCTCCTCAGTAAAAAAATGTTACACAAGAGCAGGAAGGTACATGTTTTGGTCATTGTTGAATCCATAGAACCTAGCACATTGTTATCTCTCAGTAAATATTATTGAATTAATTTTTAAATCAATAATGCAGCATCTATTTCTGACATTAGTACTGATATACATAAGAATTTAGAATTTTTATGGTTTTATTGTTTTTAATTAATCACTAATTCTTAACAGAGTTCTGATATTATTGAATAACTTGTTTTGATTCATTTCACTATTGGCTCCAAAGATGACTTTGAATTACTTTTTTTTTCTAATAAGTAAATTTTATAAACATTTTCATGGCTAGATATAAAAACTTGGAATCTCAATTGGTTTTACTCAAAGTCTGCGGAAATGGATTTATGGTTTTGGTATTAATTTTTGTCTTAGGCAACTTTCAAGTCTATTATTTTTAGTCACCAAGCTGTTTTTGGTTTTGTTTTGTTCTAGTGTTTGTTTTCGATATTTGTATATGAATAGTTGTGGCTTTTTTTTCTCTCTGAAAGCGCAGTCACTTTACTAAGGTGTGGGTCTCTTTTAATCAATAGAGTGTGGTACAGAGGTGATCAGAACGAATGGATCAGGAGAAGGCTTCATGAGTTTGACTGAATCTAGGCTTTAACTGTCGTCTTACACTTTAATTTCTGCCTGGGCAAAAATGCTGATATTAACACTCATCCTTTAATCAGGTTCAACAGGGTTAATAAGTTGAGAACATTAAATGAGTTTATAGACATATAACACTTTGGAAGTTAATAATTACTATTAGTTTAATGTCAGTTATCATCATCATCATCAATTTAATCTAGTATAATGAAAACTTTCATTAAAAAAGAAAATTTTCTTCAACCATTTTCCTATAATTTCTTCAATATTGATTACTTCCATTTTTCATCCTGGGATTCCTCTAATAACATTATTAAAAATTGCTAATATTTCACCCATAATATTTTCCCTTATTATACAATTTATCTATCATTTATTTTTAAGTATATGGGAACTTTTCAAGATTCTTTATTACTTTGACACTAGTGTTATTTTTTCTAATAACCTAATCTATAATGTGCTGCTTATATTCTAAAAGTAGAAATTTGTGACATAGCACTCCAGCCTGGGCGACAGAGTGAGACCCTGTCTCAAAAAAGTAAATACAATAAAAATAAATAAATCAATAATATTCAGAAATAGTTTACATTTAACAAAATCAAGTCCACACATATTTATTGAGCTGGTTCTACCTGCAACAAATTATACTAGAAGCCATGATCCTGTTTTGATCTCAGAGTTTTCTCTCTTTGTTTCTTCCACTTTTATTTTCCAAACATACTCTTGGTGTTTCTTAAGAATAAAATTTGTGAAAATGAAATTAGGACAGAAGTTATTATGTTGGCTAAACATGTTAACATTAATAAAATGCTTAGAAGAGCATTCAGCACATAGTGAATGTTTTGAAAGTAATATTAAGTTTAGTAAATGAAAAAATACAAATAATAAAAGTATGCATTTCTATGCATTTTCTTAACTCTTATTAAAATTGTCATAGGAAGACATGTTTTGTTTCTTTATATTGTGCTCTTCCTTTTGAACAGTAAATTTTTCTTTGTGTTATGTAATTTTCTCTATATTTTATTATTATTATTATTATTGTTATTATTATTGAGGCAAGGTCTTGCTCTGTTGCCCAGGCTACAGTGAAGTGGCACGATCACAGTTCACTGCAGCCTTGAACTCCTTGGCTCAAGTGATCCTCCTACCTCAGTATCCCGAGCAGTTGGGACTTCAGGTGCACATCACCATGTCTGGCTAATTTTTTTAATTTTTGTAGAAATGAGAGTCTTACTATGTTGCCCAGGTTGATCTCAAATCCCCGGGCTCAAGTGATCCTCCTGGCTTGGCTTCCCAAAGTGCTAGCGTTACAGGCATGAACCACCATGCCCAGCCTATTTAATTTTTAACAGGAAGATGAATTAACTTTGGCTACATTATAGGAAAACCTCATCTCTTCAAGTCCCCATGTAGGTGAACATTTAGGTTTCCGGCAGTCCATTTGATCGGGAGAGATTTTGCAATAAGCAAGATATTGAGAGAACCAAGAAAGAGAGGTTGGGTAAGATTCCTTTTTTGTGGAAGCAGCTGGATTCTAACTGGAGCCAGCTGTTCATCAGCTGGAATAAATGCACTAATTGAACACCAGCGATGCCAGGTCAAAGTCACTTTGCCTGGCCCAGATTCTAGCTTTAAGCTGCAGCCTGGAGGAATCACCACATCAGGCTCTCTGTTCAGCATGGCCTCCCACACCTCCTGGGCTTCACAGAAGCATTAATGGAAGGGCTGCTCTGGTCCCTACCTGATCCAATCTTGTCTTTTACCTTTCTAATTATGAGAGCTCCATTATCAAGTTACAGGTGATTTTTGGCAAGTCATGTGTCATATTGGTCCTTTCTTCTATCTGGCCTTATCTATGCTTCTCTGCCAGAAATTTCTTTGGATACTTGGCATGTATGTATACATTTTCTATAACTTTTTCTAAACTTATACATTTTCTAAACTTTTTCTAGTTTCCAGTGCTATTCTTTTACCTGCATTATGGCCACTTGCTTATTTGAAGATTAATTAGCTTATGGGCAACTTAAGAACATATTCTCCCATCTCACACCATAAGTTTGATTCTTAGCAGTATCAAAATTACATCTTGATGGAATGTCATTGTTCCTTCCCATGCTTACAAATAATAATTTCTTCCTGCCTGCAAATAGAACAAACTCTTGAGGAATGACAGGAATTTAAGACAAAACTTTTCCCCTAAGACAACCTTCTATAAATTGTTGTCCCATAGATTTTGCTGCATGTATTTCATGTCAATGTCATGTGTTCCTTTGAATCGTGAAAGAATAATTCAGTGTATTTTAAATGAAAGCAAGGCTTGGAGTGAAGTATCTTAATTATAAGTGTTATGAGTCCACTGTTTGAGAGGGCTTTCCCCCAGAGATTACAAATAGAATGAAGCACCTCCAATTAAATATCAGATTGACAAGAATTTTTCACCATGCTCACTGACAACACTCAGATAACTCATTCAGAATTAGAGATTCAAGTACTCTTAATGACAGCAGGACTCTACTTTCTACTCATCTGGCATTTCTGTCTCTGTGTACAAAAATACTGGAACTCTTATTCTACTGAAGTGTGTTTGTGTGTGTTTCTCTCTGTGTGTGTGTATAGTAAAAAGTATCAAAAAAGAAAAAAATATGTTGCTGTTTTTATCTGCATCCAAAGAGATTTTAAGAATTTCTTTCTGAACATATTATCCACAACTACATAGCTCAAAACCAAATTAAGGACTATCTTAATAATAATGGCTTAGTGTTTAAGTGCAAGGAATTTATATAAAAATATACATTGCATATATGTGAAATAACATAAGGCAGATATTTTTTACAAATTATATGTACATATACATACTCTCTGGAATTAGGATAGTATGATTTATAATAAAAAGAGAAAGACCAAATAAACCAATACAGAAACTTCCAAGAGAGCATCATTTCATCAATAACTTTACATAGTTTTACCTTCCCGAAATTATGAAAGTTTAGTCTTAAAAATAAACAGATTAATTGCCTGTCTACTATTTAGCAAAGATGAATACTCAGAACAAATAGAAAAAAATGTTGACAGCTGGGATAATGTGCCTTAATGGTTCATTGACAGGCAGACTGGTTTGGAGCATCTGCATATTTATTTCTGCTTCTGTGGTAGTCCAGCTATAAGTGTTACCACATTTGATAATGCCTTCAGTTAGATCCGCACCCTTAATGGATATCAGGATATCATTATTTTTTACAACCACCCTCCCATAGGTTTCATTCAAAGTAGGCAATAATAAACATATATGAGTGATACAATTAACATTCCACAATTTTCTGTTCCATTTTCCTGTGGGAATGACAAATATTGATAGGTGAAAGCAAACGTGTGGCTATGTACTGACTCAGTGTATCTCAGTTTGCTTCCCCAGTGATTTTGCGAATTAATCCTTTATTACCCTTTTACATTAAAATGTACAATAATCCGACACATTTTCCATGAAAGAAGTAGGTCATGTGTATTAATGGACCCCGAAAGATGCATTCCTACTTATTTTTCTTTACCTTGTGATTGAGTTCTGCCTTCTTAGTCAGCTTTCCCTTTAATGCTATGGAAACACTTAAGGTTCTCCATGAAGTAAGAAGAAAGCTGAATTAAAATTCATTTTTTCCTCAGGGCCTCAAATGATAAAGGTGGCTTCAGAAATTTGAGACATGCTGAGATTTAGCTGAAAGCAAGAAGAGACTTAAATCATTCCCCTAACAGAAAAGCCTGCAGGCAAGTAAGGTGGACCAATTAAAGCATTCCAAGTCATTCCCAATGGTTGTTTAAGTCAGATGTTAATTATCACTAGACTCAGTAGGGACTGAGCATTCTTTCTGTGTATCAGGACCTACCTGGTCCTTAATTTGGCTTTGTCAAAATAACCTTTGTCTGTGAGGAAAGTCTTCTTTAACTTGTCAGACTGATTAAGCTCTGCTATACAACAATGTTGAACTAATTTTATTTTGAAGCCCTTTGATATCCACACTAAATTTCTGTCCAGAATACATCTGCCAGTTAAATAGTTTAAACTGAATCCCCACAGATAATCTTGAGCCATTTGGAATTTTTTTATTATGTAGAGCCAATATTATTATGATATTGACAATCATAAGACAATAGAACAGGAAATAACTTTATGGCTATATTTTTGTTAAAATAATAATTAGAAAAGGTAAACAATGATGCTATCTTTTTATACATGACAAATATCATGGCTCTAGTTTATTTCTTGGAGAAGAACAATTATATAATTGTTGGGTAGTATCTTTGACTGTCAGCCCTGAACTAAGATCTTGTTAGAGTATAATAAATATGTAGAATCTGTTACTTTCTTTTGAGTCCTGACATTCTCACCAGTCCATTTAAACAAACCAAAGTGTATGTTCCATAATGTATCTATTTCTCACTTATAATTATTTTGTGACAAAAAATTCTAATCGTACTGATACTTTGAAGCAGAAGTTGGTGCTATAGCTGAAAAGGCATAAGTTTTAAAGATAAATAAAACTGAATTTATGTCCCGACCCTTTGTCTTACCCATATGTGGCCCTGGGCAAATGACTTACATGAGTCTCAAACTCCTCAACCTTAAAATGTGGATAATG
The DNA here is from genome assembly GCF_000001405.40 of Homo sapiens. Lineage (NCBI taxonomy): Eukaryota > Metazoa > Chordata > Mammalia > Primates > Hominidae > Homo > Homo sapiens. The sequence continues at coordinate 136,893,215 of NC_000004.12, forward strand.
ACTCCAACTGTGAAGAATTTGTTGAAAGTATCAGAATTTAACTCATGTGATGTGGTGAACACAGTGCCTGGCAAAAACTGGAAGCATGTTAAGATGTCTTACTGTTATTATTAGAATTTTCATTCTGTTAGGGCATTTCAAATTATCTGTTCATTGCCACATTAAGAATTCTATATAGCTATGGAAATTTATTATTATCCTGTTGTAATATTTTATATTTGGAAACTTAACAAAGAATAATACTGCCTGGATGTTTTGAAATGTTGCAGCTTCAGAGTTGCCTGGAAAATTGTGTTTAAGGTTTTTTTTTTGTTTGTTTTTTTTTTTTACAAATCCATCCATGCCGAAGAGTGTAATTTAATTGTAAGCACATGGTGTACGTGGGCACATAGAGTACTGTCTCATTTGTGTCTTTCTGTCTGCCAAATAATATAGAACCTACTAAAATAAGTGAAATGGAGAATGAGCCAATTTTCTGAGAAGCTATAGGAAGGACACATGTGACACACTGGGAGAATGCAAGGCCAGAAATAAACAGTAGTAGAGCATAATCTCTTGCTGAGAGTGACATTTCCAAGTTTGGACTAAATTTCATCAGTTCCCTAAGATGCAAGCCAGGAAGCTATTGGGACATAACTCTGTATATGGCCTAGAGTTTCTCTCAACTTTCAGCTATGCAATTTCAGTTTCCTTCAAAACAAAAGTTTCAGTTTTTTAGAAAATTAGGGTGAGTAAAAACTGTGTGAGCAATAGGAAATCTGAACAATAATACTGGTGGGTTTCAAAAGTTTCACTAGACTGTGAAGTTAGTAGAGACAGAAGAAGGTGAGGTCAACAAAACAAGTATCCTCACCTGCCAGGTAATTCAGCGAGCAACTTTGACACAAGTTAAAATTAAAGGCTTTTATACTTAAAGGAAAACAGTCATGTTATGTTTAGGGATAGATACTTTCTACAAAAAGATAACAATAGCTATATGGTAGGACCACTTTCCATCAAAAGAGCTAAACCCAGATCATCATCATATGCAAGTAAAACGCTGGTTACCAAAAAGTTTTTGTTAATTTTTATAACCCACTAGAAGATTATAGAAACATTGAATGATTCCTGACAGTAATTGTAATCACTTGTGCTGTGTATAATGTTGTTCTGAGAACTTCAATTGCTTAAAATTGATAAGAGGTCCACCCTAGCATTTTATAGCCAATTATGTGTCTCTTTCATTTGTCACACCAGATTAGATTTCTGGCGCATCTAGTTAGGCAGATTGCCTCTGCCAGTGGCCAATGTAAGCAATGTTTCAATGTGAGGAAAAGAGAATGTAATGATAGAAGAAGTGAAATAAGTGAGCAGGACTCACTGGGTATGCTTTCCATCAATAATAGCATGCAATCATTTATCTAGGGACTATTTACATATATAATACAAACATATAGTCTGATACAACACTTAATGGAAAAACTGACACATTTTGACATAAAATTATGTCAGAACATCTTTAAGGACATTTGTTTCTACCACTTTGAAAATTAGTTAAAAAGCATTGTCATATCTATAGTTTCAATGAAAAAATATATACTCAATTGCCTCAAACAATAAAGTCATATTGGTTCTTATGATTGAAATGTTTAGAGTTAAGACAGTACCTAGGCATTGATGTTTATTGGGACTCTAGCTCTATTCCATCACCACCATTCCGGTGTCAGTTCTGTCTTTAGGATAGCTTTCCTCATGCTAGCTTTAAGGATCCCTTGAATTCCTGTGGGCACACCATGATGGTTAATTTTATGTGTCAACTTGACTGGGCCAGAGGATGCCCAGACATGTGGTTAGACATTATTTCCAGGTGTGCCTATTAAGAATATTTCTGAAATAAATTAGTATTTGAGTCAGTGGACTGAGTAAATAGGCAGCCCTCTTCAATGTGGGTGGGCATCACCCAATCTATAGAGGGCCAGAATAGAACAAAAAGCTAGAGGAAGGTATAATTCACTCTCTGCCTGAGTGTTTGAACTGGGCCACTGATCTTCTCCTCCCCTCTGTGCTCCTGATTCTCAGGCCTTTTTTTCTAGACTGGAATCAACGCTGTCAGCATTTAGGCCTTGAACTGCATCCCTGGCTGTACTGGAAACAGGTTGCAGATGTCAGATCATGGGATTTCCCAGCCTCCATAATCACATGAGCCAATAATTTATAATAAATCTCTTTCTCTCTGTCTCTCTTTCTCTGTGTCTCTGCCTGCCTCTCACCTCTCTCTCTCTCTCTCTATATATATATATAAAATATATATAATATATAATATAAAATATATATGATATATGTCATATATATGCATATATATAGACACATATATATAAAATTGGCTTTACTTCTCCGGAGAATCCTGGCAAATACAATTTTTTTTCGCACAAAAGGGGATATAAAGCATCCTGTTCTACCATCAGAAAACAAAAGACTCATTTCACTCTAATTTGATAATTTTAGCACACGTGTTAGAAAAGAAGTTCTATTTATTCAATTTCTCATATATTTTATGAGGCTTTTGCAAGACTAGCATCCCAAGCCATTCTTTGGCATCTTCTATTCTCATTCCGATGAAGGAGGATTGTCCTATTTAATTAGAGGAGATCTTAAGGTCTTCCATTCATTAGCAAACTCTCCTTGAGAAAATAGGAGTTCTTTCCTGTATTCTTGTAACACCCTGTGCTTACATTATCACAGGAAATATGACAGTCTACTTTGGATTTTTCTCCCTTTATTGGGTTTAAGCTTCTCTAAGGCAAAGGTAAGACATTTTTGATCATATGTATAGTCTGTTGTATGGCACCAAATTCATAGTAGTCAATATAAGGTTGGTGATTAATACCCTAAACTACAATATAATTAAGTAGAATCATGCCATGCTTTAGAAATCCCTACATGAATTCATGTTGTATTTCTATGTGAAGAGATAAATAATAATCCTAATTGTGTCATAAATATTAAGCATTAGATTTTGATTAGATGCTGTTGAGTTGAGGAATAAGAATGGGGGCAGGAGAGCGACAAGCTTTCTGCAAAGGAAAATAATATCTTAACTATAACTACATGAATTCATGTTGTATTTCTTGTACTATTTCTTCATGTTAACTTTCTTCAGCTTCAACTTGCTATGTGTTACTCTCTTCTCTCAAGGAGAAGGGGCTATAGTGTGAAAACCCAATCCTTACTCAATCAAACTTTTGAAAAGATACTCACTTAACAACTGATGAATTGGTGCTCTAGGTTGAAGAAAAAACCAGATATTCTCATATAGGATGAAAATGTCTAGGTCTTGTGGACAAAGGTACTATTCAAGTTCCTGCATAATTTTCTAATGAGAATACATGATGAACCATTGCATCTATCTATGTTTCAGCTATCTATCAATATTCTGGGTAATTCATTTATACTTCATTTAGGGACCATCCATTAAAAATGTTTAATTATTAATCCCACTTGAGGATTTCAAGTGGAAGTAGAATTAATTCTGGAAAGAAGAGTATAGAATCAATGAAGGAGAATGAACTCACAATGAGGAAGAAGCTTGCAAAAACTTTTTGCTTGGGTAACAGACTTAACCTGAGATTATCTAAATTTGGGATTTTGCTCTAGCAATAAAGACAATCTTTTAGATTATACCATCTTCTATAGGAAGCTTGTGCTATAGTTTTCTCACAGCATTGAAGGAGAGTAAAAGAGTTTGTTGCTCTTTCCACCAGCCACCTTTGATTACCATCTCCAAAGCTGGTAGATTTATTTATTGAGCTCTTGCTTTTTGTCAGACATTGTATAGTCTTCTATAATACAATAACTAATTCACTCAAAACTAAGACACACTCTGTTTATGGCCTCCAAACTATATGATTTCCTTTGAGAAAGGGAAGGTTAAAAAAAGATAAATAATAATCTTAATTGTGTCATAAATCTTAAGCATTAGATTTCTGATTAAACACTGTTGGGTTGAGGAATAAGAATGGGAGCAGGAGACCAACAAGCTTTCTGCAAAGGAAGATGATATCTTAACTATAAAACTGGAATATTGATACTTTAGCTTTGAGTCCAGTATTTTAGCTATAACAACACAACTCTGTTGCAAATAGCCACTGTAGCATATTAATAAGTTAATTTTTTGAGTATGACAATGTTGAAAGTCTACCTGACTCATTTCCATCACTAGATCTATGATTTGGTGGGCAGCAAGTGTGAGTGTCAGCCTGCAGCAAAAAGTAGCTGGAGTTTCTGTACCAGGGGAGGAGGTAGCCTTTGCAGTATCCTGGAGTCTCATAATGAAGAGTAATAAGTCACCATTCATACATTGATGGCATTTGTTGCCTAATGAATGTTCAATATTCACATAGCTGAATGGCATACCTCAGTTGATTTGTGTATGTGTAGATTTTTAAATTGAAGTTTTGGTCACAATGTCTTCAGCACAATGAGTCTAGCTCATGTTCACTGAGAGCACGGTTTTTATAGAAGAGAAATAATACAGGACACTTTGCAAAAATCTTAGGTAGCTTAAGAACAATAAATTTAAGTGAGTGTTTTTGTATTTAGAAAAAGGGATATAATCAGGCCTTTTGTTTTATGAAGTTTCAAAAGAAAAAGCTGCCAAATATTTAGAGATGGATACTTGGGAGTAGAAAAGAGTTCAGTAGTTCTGGGTATGTGAGGTGATAAACTCTAGAACGAGTTCCACTAGAAAATTTCTGCATGTGAACATAAAATAATTCATAAAATATAAATCAGCACTACTCATTTACATATATCTGAAGTATGACACCATATATTAACAGGTAGAAGCAATAGATAATAATGAGCTGATCCTATTATTCTTACCATTTAGTTTAAATGTGGAAACAGAACATTTTGGACAATAAATTTTTCACATAGCCTTTGGAAAATTCAAGGAGCAAATATTGGACTTCCTGATAGTATGGCCAAAGGTAGTTGTATCAATTAATGGAAAAAAAAAAAACGTAAAAATTTAGTATTCTGCTTTAGTGGGATATTTTATTCTTGTAATTAAGGTATTTGCCTATAAGTAGTTACCTGAAAATTAGTATTCTATAGTCCCTTTGTTAGTTGAGTGAAGTCCTTCAGAATTCCCATAACATCGTGTCTATCACTTTATTATAGCTCTTCTCAGATCATATTAGAACAGTCTGTCTGTGAGCATTTGAGGGTGAGGTTTCTTTCTTATTTGCACAGGAATCCTCAGTACCTATTGTGGCTATTAGCAAGCAGTAAGAACTGAATCATTTTTTCTTAAGTAACCAGATTTCTAAAAGTCTATGGTCAAGTGAAGACCCTCAGCAAACTACCAGTCTGTTAAAAACTTATGTAACTGCAACTGAAAAATGAGAAAAACAGTACATAGTTATTTTATCTTGCTTTCTTTCAATACAGTGGGAACTCTAATCCTTATGTATGCAGAAGAAATATCTCAACAAAGTACCAAAATTAGGCTGAGTAGAAAGGAAGGAAAATGTACATATTAAGTTCTTTTTTTTTTTTTCAAAGCAACTGTGCTAATTTAATTTAGATTTTGAGACATCTGGACACTATATGAGGCAGGCATAAAATTTTGTCTGGGAGTAACCAGCAAGAAAATGTTTTACTATCTGTATATTTCAAATGTAATTTTCAGCTGGTAATTCTACCCAGGTCTGTTATTTACACTACCCAGATGAGTTAGCAGGTTTATTCCTAGATGTGACTAGTTAATCTCCCACCTTCCCCCTCCATAGCCATGTCTCTGGATTGAATCTTTTTATGCCGTCCTGTTATTCAACAGTTGGAGGCTCTTTGTATGCCTGAGTGACTGCATTCCTTCAGAAACTGGTGGTCAGGATACAGCAGTTACAGTAACTGAAGGGGCTGCTCTGTCTTTGGACTTTACAAATTCTGGATGAGTCTAACTCACAGTGGTTTGAGGCAGGTAATAGTTGGTTTCCACTTTATTCTGCATATGTAAACCTGCACACAGTCCCTGTGTCTGCTGCACTAAGAGTTGGTGTGTGTCCATGCTAAGCAACTGGTTTTCCTAGTTGCAATCAGGATTGCCTTTTGGAATCACATGTCAGGTAGAAATGTCGATGCAAAGAGTCAAACTCTGTGAAATATTCACAGAGACTTATTCCAAGCCAAATATGAGTGACAATGTCCTGTGACACAGTCCCAACATGTGCCCAGGATGGTCAGTCTACAGTTTGGTTTTATACATTTTAGCGAGATATAAGTCATCAATCAATACATGTAAGATGGTATATTGGTTTGGTACAGAAAGGTGCAACAACTCAAAGTGGGGGCTTCCAAGTCATAGGTGGATTCAGAGATTTTCTGATTGACAATTGCTTGAAAGAGTTATTATCTAAAGACTTGGAAGCAATAGAAAGGAATTTCCAGATTAAGATAAGGGGTTGTGGAGACCCCTTTATCATGCAGATAAAACCTCCAGATGGCAGGCTTCAGAGCTCTTATCAAACCTAAAAAGATGCCAGACTCAGTTAATTCTCTCTTGGATCAGGAAAAAGACCTTGAAAGGAAAGGGGATTCTCTAAAAAAAAAAAAAAAAAAAAAAAAGGTATATTCTCCACTCTTTACAGGGTCATTTCAAAATATGTCAAAGAAATATATTTTTGGGTAAAATAATTTCTTCCAGTGCCTGCTATCTGTCATGTGATATTACACTAGAGTCAGGCTAGAATTTGGTGTCTTATTGCTACACAAAGTCTATTTTGTCAGTCTGAAGATCTGCTTTAATGTTAAGGCTAGTTAGCTGTGCTTGAATTCCAAAGAGAGGAGGGTATAATGAGGCATGTCCAACCCTATCTTTCCATCATGGTCTGAACTAGATTTTCAGGTTTACTTTGGAATGCCCTTGGCACAGAGGGGGTACTTTCAGTTGTTTGGGAGGCTTAGGATTTTATTTGGGGTTTACAGAAGTATGAAAAATGACTGAACAGATGCATGACTTGAGATATGAAAACTGGCCAGGAAGTATTTCTGTTGTTTTAGAGAAGACTCAAGAAAAGGTGGAGCTAAGACCATGGCATGGAAATGCAGTCGAGAAGGCCATTATGAGAGAAAGAACCGAATATCTTAGTGAACAAAAGGAAAGGAAAAGTCCTAGGCCCAGGGTTTTAGAACAGCCAGAAATTAAGCCCTGATAGCAATTTTGTTGGCAAATCTGTATGGGTTTTGGCCATATGAAGATGAATAGTTGGCCAGGTGCAGTGGCTCACACCTCTAATCCCAGCACTTTGGGGGGCCGAGGGAGGCGGATCACAAGGTCAAGAGATCAAGATCATCTTGGCCAACATGGTGAAACCCCATCTCTACTAAAAATACAAAAATTAGCCAGGCATGGTGGCATGCGCCTGTAATCCCAGCTACTTGGGAGGCTGAGGCAGGAGAATCGCTTGAACCCAGGAGGCAGAGGTTGCAGTGAGCCGAGATCATGCCACTGCACTCCAGCCTGGCGACAAAGTGAGACTCCGTCTCAAGAAAAGAACCAAGATGAACAGTTATGGTGAAATGAAGAGTCAGCCTCAAATTGCAGAGACAAATAGTAAAAAATAAATGGAAAGGAGTTCCATATGGGCTTCTTACTCCAGACTGCAGATGCTGAGTCACTGCCAATGGCACTATCTCTGAACAGGAAGTCCTCCTTGATCATTTGTCTCACAGTGGGTTTATGACAGCTGGAGTTCCCACAAAAACCAATGATGCTGACATATACAAATGAAAAATGTTGTTCCATATAACTTTTATTTAGGGAGAATATTCATCACATGAATTTTAGCAGGTAGTGTAGGAGTCACAACCTATGACCCTTGGGCCAAATGCAGCCTTCAGCCTGTTTGTAATAAAGTTTTTTAGGACATGTCCATTCCCGTTCTTTTATGTCTGCCTGCTTTCAAGCTACTGTAGCAGAACTGAGTGGTTATGCCCCGCAAAGCCTAAAATATCTACTACCTGCCTCTTTATAAGATGAAAATAATTGTCAATGCCTGTTAGAACATCAACTCCCTCAAAGTTTCTTTCCTTGGCAAATTTTTTAATATCTTCTATACAATTCTTAAATTTTATATGGTTTTGCATACTTTTGTAATTAAAAAGAGTTGTATCAACAGGACTGTTCCATATTATCATCTTCAATTTACATTTCTAAACATTTTTAGTAGGCTACAGACTAAGGTTTTTGGTGCTGTTATGGAATCTTAATTATTTGAATCAAATTGGTTACATATATTTAACTATTTAGGCCAATATTTTTTATTCATGTAAATCAGAAACCCAATACCTTTCCTGGGGAAAAGAGTGAATGATCAGCCTTTCTGATCTTTCTTTAAAGAAGACATATACTCTTTATATTAATATGCTTTAAACCTAAAATTTTTATATTTTCATATATAACAGGAAAATTGGCAGAGGGGGCACATACTCATATCATGAGACTTACAGTTTCCAAATTCTGACTTAGAATTACTTGACATTCCTTCCCCTGTCTTCTCCCTTTCATTTTCTCTCTTTCTGTCCCAGCATTGGCAGGACAGTCTTTTCTGGGATCCACAAGGTTTTATCTCAGGGAGTGGCAGACGTAGAACTGGCAAGAATTGACTAACTGGGACGACTTTATTAAAATTCCCTAGTACAAATTGAGAGATCAGGGACAATATAACAACAAAGGAAGGGATGTTCCGTAATGTTGGACGGCAAAAATTGCCAGAGGTCCGGTTGTCCTGACATTAAGAATCTCAAAGTAAAGTTAATTGTCCTTTACTTCTCCTCAAAGTGTCCTGAAATTAGGAAACTGCTTCACTTTTCTTTGGAAAGTACCCTTTGCATCTGATCAAAGTTTCTCTTTTTTCCTAGACCAAACTAAAATTAGAACAAAAACTCAACAATTTTTCTAACACATATGTACCCAAAAACTTACACTGTCCTTTCAGGTTTCCTCAAGGTTGTTTTATTTAGACAAAGAAGGAGGAAAAGAAAGAAAAACACATATCCTGGCTGATGACCATCAGTATTTGAACATTAAAACTTTTTCTCTCAAAGAAGCTTTTATTAACTCAACCATCATTACACTTGGTTCTTTCTCTCTTCCACAAAAAAGTTAAATGTTTTGAAATACACTAATAAGTCATCTCTCCTTTTTATCCTTAAGTTATTACTATCAGTTTTCTGCCCCCATAATTTCTCTGAGCCGGAAATATCCAGAATCATTGAACAAATTCACCCTAAATTACCTGAATATTTTCTTCCCTTTCTCTTTGCATACAAGTGCCATTTTAGTAGCATTTGTTTCTTTTGCTCCCTTATTCCATCTTAAAGTATAATTTTACTTCTATAAAGCTACAAAACTATATTTCACACCACACAACTATCTTGCTTGCTAAATATATAGGTTGAATTGCCTATTTGACATGTACCCTTGAGTCATAGACATATCACACTCGATGTTTGATCATTTAAATGCATTATGTCTCAAACCTGCCTCTTTTCCAGTGATCCCTCTTTTGTTTTTACATTTTTTTGTAGAGATGAGGCCTCACTGTGTTACCCAGGCTTGTCTCAAACTATTGGCCTCAAATGATCTTGCTGCCTCAGTCTCCCAAAGTGCTGGGATTACTGGTGTGTGCCACCACTCCCAGCCTGATCTCTCTTTAAGTGAATGATATTAATGTTTACCCAGTTGCCTTACGTGGGAGACAAACGTCTGATTATAGCACTTCTCTGTTTGCAACTTTTCAAAGGCTTCCCTTTCCTTTAAGGAGAAAGTCTATACTCTGAAACCTGACTTACATGTCCCCTCATGGTTTGGTTCCTGTTTTCCTTTCCAACTTTGGCTCTCAAGCTAGTATAATTTTCCCTCCATAATCCAGTAACTATCACTGAAATTATTTCCATTCCTTAAGAGCCCCGTGTTTTGTTGTCATATCTAAATTTTAAAATATGCATTTCCCTGCGACTGTAAGATATATTTCCACTCTGCGTTATAAGTATGGTGCAGATGGTGGAAGACATGTCTGCTTACCGTTATATTCCCACCCTCAAGATGGTGCATGGCATTGAGTAGACAGTAGAAGATGGCACAATAACACTCAGCCTTGTTATCAGTTATTCTGTTCTGGATATTTTGACCCTATAAATGTTATTGTTGTGGTTGTTGTTATTATAACTTGTTTATTTGTTTGTTTTGAGGCAGACTGGTACGTCTTTTAATGTGCATTTATAGGGTACTAAAGCAATTTGAAGAAAAGCAAGTATACTATTTATCACAACCATGTTCTGAACAGTCTCTGAATTTTGATAAAAAGCTACAGCCATTTATTTTTAGGGACAGAGTCCCAGCCAGAAGCCCTTATTTTCCTCACTGTATGAGAGTCACACTTGCAGTGAGAGCTATGGGGAAGGCCAGTTAGCCATGGGTGTCACCACATGGGAAAAACTGATCTTTTAAATATGAGTGAAGTATATAAGTTATTTATAACTAATTCATGATATACCTGGGCAGAAAAGTTGTGTTTTCAATGGTTTTATTAACGTTGCAAACAATTTATCATTTTTCTTTTTTTCTTTTTTTTTTTTTGACTGGGAGTTTTGCTCTTGTCACCCAGGTGGGAGGGCAATCGCGCGATCTTGGCTCACTGTAACCTCCACCACCTGGGTTTAAGTGATTCTCCTGCCTCAGCCTCCTGGGTAGTGGGGATTACAGGCGCCTGCCACCATGCCCAGCTAATTTTTGTAGTTTTAGTAGAGACGGGGTTTCTCCATGTTGGTCAGGCTGGTCTCAAATTCCCGACCTCAGGTGATCCGCCCACGTTGGCCTCCCAAAGTGTTGGGATTACAGGTGTGAGGCACCATGCCCAGCCAATTTATCATTTTTCTCTCCATTTGCCATACTTTTTTCTTGTTTTTGTTTATCAATTTAGTTCTAAGACTATGGACACTTAGAGTCAGAACAAATAAAATAACATTATTTTAACTTTCATATCTCTACCTTTAAATTGGTGTTACTAGTGATTTGAATTTGTTAATTTGCTTTACTTTGTAATATTCATTACTTACTGGATGCTTCTGAATTTTAACAAAAAGTACTCTATATTTACAAAGGTAATAACCGTCCTACACAACATTTTCATTAGTTCAGGCTGTTGGGAAGCTTGAAGACTTCAGTGTAAGCAACATATGCAATATGTTCTAATTTTTCCACATGAAGTAGTAGTATAGACTTACAGAAGTTACTCAGACACCGTGAAAATGATATATGTTCTACAAATGCATTAATACTACTACTGATTCTAGAAAATAGCCCCAGTGTTCATCTATAGTATTCTACAGCTGGAATTAAAAGAAATAATAATAATAATAAGATATGTGAAGATAATTTAACACGATGTGTGCAATTCAATTAAAACCCAAAACATTTCTTCAAGCTTTTGCAGATTTATTTCTATTACTCTTAGATTTTAAAACTAAATTCCAATAGCTAGATGATTCTGTTAGCACCACCGAGCCTATCAACGTGACAAAATATCTTAAAGAGATACTAACACGCATGCATCATTAGCCATTAAAAATTCTCCCTCAGTTATTGGAACAGATGGTAGGAATAGCACATCTTGGAAACTACTTGGCTAATAGGAATATAAACCATCCAGAATAAATAAAACTACAAATTAATGTACTTTCCTTCAAATCTTGCTGAAAATATGTTCAAAAAATGTAAAAGAAAAGTAGAGATTGAAAAATAAAAATCAAGTGTATATTTTTATCACAAGACAAAACAAGAAACCGAATGTGATCCAGGAAATATATAGAAGATTGATTGCAGAAATGAGGGCATATAATCTACATAAAACAACTATGGTAATACACAGTAGTGATTGTATCTGGTTAATACATTATTAGAGTGGTAACATGTCCAGCCAAAAACAATAGTGTTTAATGAAGACTGTTAGTGTTTAAGTAAAGATAACTATTTTTCCTGATGATGCTGCTTATATGAATCTATTTTTTAACCTTACAGAATTTAGTCACTGATTGGTGATGTGTACTTTTATAAAATTTAATTCTGTTTATAAACTTTAAGGATCCTAAGCTAAATAAACATAATGAAGTTTATTATAAAAATAAAGCAGTTCAACCTTTTGAAGACCCACAGATTTAGCAACTAATCTACTCATTTACTAATAATTGTATTAAATTTAATTCACTTTCCAGAGTCTATATGATGAGCTCTTAAAGCATAGTGGTCATACATTATTTGCATACATTGTAAGAATGCTTGAAATTCCATTTATAGTGCCTTTGAAGGAACTTTAGTTTATCATTGGAAAGATGCTATGATAATTAGAAGGCATTGTAAATAGATTATTGCTCATGACAACCGCATTCTTTCATCATGGCCCAAATTCATGACTTGTCCATTAAATTCACACACACACACACACACACACACACATTGGATCTGTGCAAATAAAAATGCATTCTTAAGAGAAGTAACATTTGAAATGTAGAATACATAACACTTTAAGACTATGTTCTATTACATATTATTTTTGGAAATGGCAAATAGTATGGGAATTGATTATCTTAGGCATATGACCCTCACATGCTCTTCTAAATCTTCAAATTTATTTGAAAAGGTGTCTGGTACCTGTTACAAACACCAAGACCCATCAGCTATCTAGTTGTGTTTTCTTAAGACAAAAACAATTTAGCTGGCAGAAATAAGAAAATTGCCTCCGAAGTAAATTCACCAAATTTACACTTACAACCAAATGATTTTTGACAAAGGTGCTAAGAATATACACTGAGAAAATGAGACCCTCTTCAATAAATGGTCCTTGGAAAAATGGACATCCACATGCAGAAGAATAAAGCTAGATGCCTATCTCTCCTCAAACACAAAATTCAACTCAAAATGGATTAAAGACTGAAACATGAAACTATAAAATTACTGAAAGGAAACGGGAAATGCTCAGGACACTGGTTTAGGCAAAGATTTTATGGCTAACACTTCAAAAGCACGGGCAATTCCCCCAAATTCTGACAAATGGAATTAAATTAAACTAAAACACTCTTTACAGAAAAGAAAACAATCAACAAAATGAAAAGACAACCTGTAGAATGAGAAAAAAATTGCAAAGTACTCATTTAACAACAGACTTATATGTAACATCTGCAAAAAACTCAACAGCAGGAAACAAAACAAAAATGAAAAAAAACTGAATAATGTAATTAAAAAGTGGGTAAAGGAACTGAACAGATATTTCTCAAAAGGAGATATGCAAATGGTCAATAGGCATATGAAAAATGCTCAACATTATTAATCATCACTGAAATGCAAATAAAAACCACAATGAGATAACAAATATATTTTAACTGGATTAGTTAGAATGACTTATCAAAAAGTTAGAATGGCTATTATCAAAAAGACAAAAAATAACAAATGCTGGGGAGGATGTGGAGAAAAGGGAACTCTTGTGCAATGTTGATGGGAATATAAATTAGCACAGCCATTATGGACAAAGCAAGAAGATTTCTCAGAAAACTAAAAACAGAACCACCATATGACCCAGCAAGTCTACTACTAGGTATTTATCCAAAGGAAAGGAAATCAGTATATCAAAGGTATACCTGCATCACCATGTTTATTGCAGCACCATGCACAACTGGCTAAGACATGGAATCAACTAAAATGTCCATCAACGGAGAGATGGATAAAAAATGTGTTATGTATACATATAAATGAATGAATCCTGTCATTTGCAGCAACATGGCTAGATCTGGAGTATATTAAGGGAAATAAGTCAGGAACAGAAAGATAAATATCACATGTTTGCGCACATACGTGAAAGCTAAATTTTAAAAAATTAAACTCATGATAGTAGAGAGTAGAATTGTGATTATTAGAAGCTAGGAAAGGGAGAGGGTGGGAAAGATTAGGAAATATTTGTTAACAGATACAAAGCTACAGCTAGATGACCAGAATGAGTTCTTGTGTTTTACCACACTATAGGTTGAATATGATTACCCATAGTTTATTATATATTTTCAAAAGTCTGGAAGACAGAATTTTGAACGTCCAGTCCACAAAACAGTACATGTTTGAGGTAATGGATATGCTAATTACCCTCATTTGATCATTATAATTGTATACACATGTGGAAATATCAATCTATATTCCATAAATATGCACAATTGTTATGTGTCAATCAAAAATAAAAGGAAAAAATAAATAAGAGGAGTACATTAGCTATGCCCTCGCCCCCTCCTTGGCCCCCACGCTCACCATTTGCCACAGTAAAGAATTTGCTCTGGGCAAGAGAAATATTTTCACTAACTACAAATTTTAACATCTTCTTAATAAAAACTCACACCAATTCCATTTTTTCCACCCAGAGGATAAAGTAAGCATCTCTTTTCATATTAAAAGTTCGGGCAGGGGAGTGAGTTTGTCCGAAGGCAAAGATAATTTCAGCAGAGGAAGACTGATGCTATAGTCCTATCCCATCTCTGTCCTGGTGGGCAGTCTCTCCTCTCCTTTCTCTCTCTCTCTCTTCCCCACTCTCCTTTGTGTGTGTGTGTGTGTGTGTGTCTCCTAATTCTGCATTTTTCTCTACAGTTTTTGTCCTCTGGCATACTTTATAGTAGTCTCTAAATTTACTTCTCTATCTTCTCTCTAAACCATAAGCTCCATGATAAAAGAATTTTGCCTTTCCCTACTACCATATCTCCAGTATCTAGAGCAGTGCCTGCAAAGAGTGGACCTTTAATAAATACTTATTGAATTAAAATTTCCCCTTTATCCTGAGAGTTCCTGTCTCCCAAATTAATATCCCAAGTCACCTATGATCAGATTTTTTTAATCACTTTTGCCAAATGTCAAAAGAAGACTGGCTACATAATTTAAGACCAGTGAAAAAATGAATTGTCTAAAATTATTAAGAATTTCAAGACAAAGACAGCAGAGCATTAAACAAAGCACAAGTACTTCTGAGTGTGGGGCCATTGACAACTGTACAGACCTCACACGTGTGAAGCCACCCTTGTTCAAAACCCTTTGTGTTTAGACTTTTACATAACAAATAAGGAAACAAAGATATTCTTTAACATTCCTAATACCATTGTTTATAGATAGCCAACTATAAAAGGGACCGGAATTGGGATACTGGTTGAAGTGATGTATGTAAATTGAATCAGTAGAGAAGAAAATTTTACATGGAAGCCAGGGCAGAGTGATATTGTCATTTACAGTACACTTATTTTAAAAAATTAAATAAATTTTTGCACCCTCCAAGTTCACTGTTAGTTATATGTTATTACTAGATCTCTATATGATCAATAATATTACACCTCAACACTACACACATGTTGAGTTGTGATATGGAGTGCTGTGGCGGCTGCTGTGATCCTCTATAAAAGGGTTTTTAATCTCCGTTTAGCAGCCAGTGGACAGCCAGGAGTGGTATAATTAGACATCATTCAAATTTGAGGGAACAAACTTGAAAATTGAAAAATTGCAGAGAAGACAATTGATATGCCAAGTAGGACTTCCTAGGCAGAATAAGAGACAGAGTTAATCAAGACTCATTAGTGTGGTCCAAGACAAAATGAGATATAATGGATGAAATGAGAAATTTTGGTGCTAGTGTCATAATTGCAATTCTTCCATTACAGTATCCTTTTATAAGCAGTTTGGTTCATCATACAGAGGTGAACTTAGCAGGGCTAGAATACAAAATTGTGTCACATACACCTTTTTTTTTTTTTCTGGAGTTTAGAGTTTACATAATCACAATACCATAAATGCCAATCATAATTATATAAGTATTTTTAATCTATTATAAAACCTAACTTACGCCCAATGAAAAGCTATATTTAAACCAGGTGTATAATGTCAGACTTTGACCCAGTGTTTATTTCAGTGTTTTTAAGTGTCACTCCAAAAGAAACTCTTCTTTTTTCACACCTCCACTCCAGGACTGTAGAATACAATTCTGTGTATAGTGTTTCTGAATGTTCATAATATCCAGAATTAGAAAATGCAGTCAGTTGAAGCACATTATGAATAAAAAGAGGCACTTTCTTTCTAACATATAAAGAAGTGCAAACTATTCATTTTTAAAAGAAAAAACGTTCAGAATAACACAGGTTTGCTTTCTATTCCAATGTTTGCTTCTTCTTTGAGAGTGAAAATAAAACAATAGAAAGAGACATGAAATTAACATGTTTATTTCAATATATTTTATATTCATATTGTTTCTTTGTTCTAGAAACTTCTCCACCTTAACTTCCTAACAATAAAGTACAACTCTTCCTGTGACACTTGAGATTAGATAGTTTCTGGTGATTTACTTTATGATGATATCACAGATGAGTAATAGTTGTGAAAAACAGTCAGTAGCCTATGTTAAAGATTTCCCCAAAGGGAAAGGATTTTTGTGTAAAAGAGAATAAGAGAAGTTCTCATCACAAATTTACATTTGAAAATAGCGTATTTAGAGGTGGAGAAAACAGTTTTCTCAAAGCAGTGATTATATAAGAACAGCTGTGATGACTGGATCTCAGCCAAAACTTTCACATACTCTCAACCCTGTTAGGATACAGCAATAAGGTATCAAATTTAACCATTAGTTAATAGGAGATAGGTCTTAATTAAATATTGGACTCATGCCATCATCGTTACAGTGAAGGCAAATTAGGAAGTAGACGCATGTGAAAATAATTATAAGACAGAGTGAGAGATGTACCTTGGTAACAATGTTTAATTCAGGTGACTCAGAGCCCAGAGTTGTGCCCTATTTGATCTGTATATAATTCTGACACATTTTGCCACTTGACTTAGAAATTTTTTTAAAAAAACTAATTTGACAATTAGACAACTATGGGTTAAAGAAAAAATAGTGGATCATTTTGTAAGTGACCCACATTAGACCTAAGGTTGCATATTTTCTCCTTAAATAGTTTTGTCATATGCATGTAAACAGGAAAGGAAGAAAAAAGAAGTGCTTTTCTCTTATCATTCTACATCATTCTATCTCTTTTTTAATTAACAATAGTTTCATCAAGAAAAGACTTTTTAAAAAAATCAGAAAACCAAAAGTTAAAGCAGAGATGAGCCCAACTGTCTTTTCTCTCTTCCTTCCATTCACTCAATCTGTTAAAATTTTCTTTACTCTTTTGTGAAACTCTACTTGTTGAGAAATGTAAAAAGTAATTTGCAGTTACAAGATTCACTACTCTTATTAATAAAACAAAAACTGGGAAAATGTAATAAATTACAATATATAACATTTAAAAAATGAAGGTAATTTAAAACAAAACTTCACCTTTTAATTCAGAATTTTACTTTTGAAAGATGGCAAAAAACAAACACACACTTGACTATTGCTTATTTTGTAAGATGTGTGCAAAACATAATATAGATCTCTATCTTTATGTATATTATACTAGTTTTAAAAAATATTTATTTTTTTTTTAGTTGACAAAGTAATTGTACACATTTATGGGGTTCAATGTGATGTTTCAATACATGTATATATTGTATAATGATCAAATCTGGGCATCATGCATATTCCGCACTTCATATATTTAGCATTTATTTGTGGTAAGAACATATAAAATCCTCTCCTCTGGCTATTTTGAAATACACAACAGTGTTAACCATAGTTTCCCTAATGTGTACTAGAACACCAAAACTTATTTCTTCTCTCTACTTGTAAATTTGTACCCATTGACAAATCTTTCCCCCACCTCCCTCTCCTCTCCCCTCCCCACCCTCTGCTAACCACTATTCTACTCTCTATTTTCATGAAATCATGTGTTTTAGATTCCGTATATGAGTGAGATCATGTGGGTATTTGTCTTCCTGTGCCTGGCTTATTTCCTTTAACATAATGTCCTCCAGGTTCATCCACGTTGTTGCAAATAGTGATATTTCATTCTTTTTATGGCTGAATAGTATTCCCCTGTGTATGCATACCACATTTTCTTCATGGATTCATCTATGGGTGGGCACATAGGTTGATTTCATATCTTGGCTATTGTGAATAGTGCTGCGGTGAACATGGGGTGCAGATCTCTTTGACACAGCTTCATTTTCTTTGAGTATATAACAATAGTAATGTTGGTGGATCTTTTTTTCCCTTTTATACTATGCTATTTCACAGTGTCTGAAAATAATTACTTTTTACATATTGCCCAATGGCAGGAATGTATGGGAGGACCCTCCTAACCTCTCAATGCAGGAAGGAGAAGACTCTGTTCTTCATTGAAACAGGTAGCTCAGTCCTCCCACTATTGCAAGATTTTAATGTAAAATAGCTTTAACTTTTAGAAAAGTTGCAAGAATAGTTCATAGAACTCCTGTATATCATTTAGCTAGAGTCTCTACTCACTTTTCACCAACTGTCCCAGGAACAGCCTTTGGAGGAAAGGTTCCAGTTCAGGATCATACATTGTACCTGGGTATCTTGTCTCTCCAATCACTTTCCATCTAAGTCAGTCCCTTGATCTTTCTTTGATTTTTAAGTACTTTAGTATTTTTGAAGATTATTGCTGAAGAAGTTAAGGATGAAATACCCTCAATTGCCCCAACCTAGCATATGGATTATTTTGAGCTGAAAGCACTTGAGAAGCATCAGTATCAGAGAGACTTATCTGAACTTCCCTTTCTCATCTATAGCAAGCCATTAGAATTCCTGTGAGAATGCCGCCTTCCCTCACCAACACAAGAACACAACCTGTATTACCAGTGATTGAGAAGTGATGCTGCAATGGATTTTAATATATAAATAAAAGTAGTAAATAAACCTTATCTTCTACTTGGCTTTATACCCCTCTGTGTAGCTCCTAGTTACTTCCCTAGAATTCACAACAACTAGTCCAGACTCCAATGTTTTTATCATTTTTTTCACAAGATTTATCATTCTTTGTTTAAAAAGAACTAAAGCTTCCTGCTTTGGCTATTACTTCAGGTCTTCCCTCTCTCATGAGGATCTCCATGTAAAATTAAGAAAACTTGTATGCTTTTTTCCTTGTTAATCTGGTTTGTGTCAGTTTGGTTCCTAGACCCAGCCAAAGATCCCACTGAAGAACTATAATGGCTGGCTGAGATCTTTAGGCACCCCTACATAATCCAGTCATTTTGTAAAACATCCCTCAATTTGGATTTGTTCAATATTTCTTTATGATTAGACCCAGGGAATGCATATCAAATTTGCTATGTGCTTTCCCTTGCAATCTCTGGGTGGCACCTGATATTTCTCCGTTCCACGACTGACGGTAATGACTATGTCCACTTTATAAAGATGATACATCAAGGTTTTTTTCCTTTTCTGTAAATTTCCTTTTTTGTTCCTTTGTGTTTAATAAATGTTTTGGTGGGAGATACTTTGAAACCATTTAAAACCCTCCTATTCAACCCTTTCACCCACTCATTTTAGCACACCTTAATGTTGCTGGAATTAATTGTATAGTGACTGCCAAACAGTGATGTTCAAATGTACCAAATCCTTATAGCTGTTAGCTGGCATTCCACTGTGTGGAAGAATTTGCCATTATCATATGATTCATTAATTCATTAACTTAGATGCATGGACTTCCGGATTCTCATGTTACTGAATGAATTATAATTTGTTACTATCATTAGTTGTTTTGATGCTCAAATTCTCCCATATTTGGCTGCTGGAAACCCATTAATGTTGGCTTTTCTGTCTTTAAAAAAATCCCTACATTCTTTGCACACTTCCTAATTCTCTGGCACTCATGATGTTCCAAGTTCTCTTGTACTTGCACTTCCCCAGTCCTAGTATCCGCCATTTCTCCATGGAGCCCTGGTTCGTTTTAGTGGGGAGCAGTGTTTGATACAGAAAAAGAGATGCACAGGGCAAGGTTGTGTGGGAAAGAGCATGGGACTTCCAGATCCTCTCCAGGCATGCCTCCCTTCAGGAACTTCCACATTTTCACCTATCAGGAAACTCTCTGGTACATTATAATATTAGTAAGAAGGAATGCTGTGCAGCACAACATTATTTAATAAAAGCAAAAGATCATATGGAAAGAAATGCTCAAAGGATTGTCTCCGCACCAAAATGTAAACACCACATAGGTGAGGGCTTTGTACTTTTTATTCACTTCTGAATTCCTACCCACCCCACCCCCCCACACACACACACAGACACACAGAATAAATAACTTGCCACAAAACATAAATGCCATAAGATTTAGTTGAGAAAAATCTATTAAGGATTAGGGTACTCAAGAAAACTATCAATTTTCATGTTTGCCCTAGGTCTATACATTTAGATTTTGAAACATAAGCAGCATTTGGGTAGGGAAACTCCAGACAGGCATTTCAGACAATAGAAACTATAGGAAGAAGGACATAGAGACATAAAATGAAACTTATGTTATTGTTGGGTGGTGGTGCAACTAGACTGGGTTGAGAAAGCAATTAGTGTGAGCTTGAGGTGTGTTTTTGTGTGTGTCTGTGTGTATATAGGGAAGGGATAGAGAGATTATGCTAAAAATAGATTGTAAGGGGTTGAAAGTCAGTTTGAAAAGTTAGGCAATAGAAAAATTACATGTATATATGTTCAGGATAATTGTATTTCCTGTATTTTTATATTATAATTTATTTCAGGATAATTTAAAACTGAATATATTTGTGGCAAAAGAAGATGAATAGTGATGCACCAAATCAGGAGTTAGCAGATTATAACCCATGGGGCAATTTCATCAGCCACCTGTTTTTGTAAATAAAGTTTTATTAGAACATACCCACATCAGTTTATATTATCTATGGCTGCCTTCACACCACAATGGCAGAGTTGAATAGTCATGACAGAGAACATCTGGCCCATAAAGCCTAAAATATTTAACATCTGGATCTTTACAAAATATTTGCCAACTCTTGCTCTAGATAAAAACAGAAAACAGGGTGCTTGCTGGTGGGTTATATTTCTACAGAAATATATATGCCATATTTTACAGAGAACAGGGCAAACAGTTCTTTCTGAATTTGGAGGAAGTAGGTGTACAGAGTGTGAATTAAAGTCTTGGAGTCAGAGTCACATCTTTAATCCTTGAGTCTCATGTCCCAGGACATGGAAGACAATGCCATCAATTTATGTGGAAAGAGTAGTGTGAGTAGACTGCAGGGCTCAGAATATATTGTGATTTAGCAACCAATGCAAGAATGTCAAGAAGCCAGTGTGTCTCACCTGTTTAGTGCAATGATAGATGCTCTCTGCTGCAACAGATAACTCTTTAGGTAAATCAATCTGTGTCTTTCTCTCTGTCTCTCTCTTAAACACACACACACACACACACACACACACACACACACAGTAGCAGCAGGAGAAGCATTTCACAAAAGCCCAAACGAGACTGATAAGGAAAAAAACATGTTAGACTTTTACCTGGTCTCCTTGTCCCAAAGGATATTCTTCTCCAAATCCTCTTCATGCTGTTATCAATTAGGATATATTTGTACTGCCCAAACCCTACTCAGTTGGAATAAATGAGAAGTTGGAAATCCAGAGCTGGTTCAGACTTCCTACTGATTGACTCAGAAGTCCAACTTCATCATTTAAAACATAAGTTCTTTCCATCTTTCTGTTCTGCTTCCCAAATTGTCAACATCTTAATCAACTGAACTTCAACTAATCTGAAGTTCAGTTGCTTCAGCCCGTAATTTCTTCATAATTCAGGACATCTATACTTTTAGTAAGTAGTATTGGAACGTTCAGTTTTATTTGGAAGATGAAAGATATTTTCATTGTCTGTTTTCTAACCCAACAGGATTGGAGTAGAAATATGAAGGAACAAATGGACAAATAAGTTTATGATCTTGCTCTCAAGTGGTGCTAAGTAGATGTGTTTGCTATAGATTATGAGACTGGCAATAAAAATACGAGAATAAAAATACAAAATATTATATTTGAAATATTTGATTTAATTAGCCATGTTTTCAAAACTAATCTGTGAGTTTTCACTATGTCATTCTTCAAAAAATTCCACAATGGATACATCAGGGTCTTTAGAACCAAATAGATTTAAGATTAAATTTGAGATCTCCCAGTTATTAGGTACATGGTTTTTGCAATTTACTTAAACTCACTAGGCCTTAGATTCCTAATCTATAAAATGCGATAAAATGTCTGTGAGGCAGTATTTCAGTGAGTAATAATTAAGGAAAAATATGGAAAGTGTCGGACACAGTGACCTACACAGAACAAATGCTCTATAAATAGCAGTTACTATATTTTTGTTGTTTTATGACATATTAGGTTTAATTTCTCCAATAGCATAGTTCCATTACTATAATCCAAACCGTTAATTCAAACAATAGACTTTTACCTGGTCTTCTTGTCCCAAAGGATATTCTTCTCCAAATCCTCTTCATGCTGTTATCAATTAGGATATATTTGTACTGCCCAAACCCTACTCAGTTGGAATAAATGAGAAGTTGGAAATCCAGAGCTGGTTCAGACTTCCTACTGATTGACTCAGAAGTCCAACTTCATCATTTAAAACATAAGTTCTTTCCATCTTTCTGTTCTGCTTCCCAAATTGTCAACATCTTAATCAACATAACTTTTCTTCAAGGTTCTAGTGCCAGTAACAACCTGGACCTGGTTTACATTTGGCAAGGAAAAGAGGAACAGTGCCTTTATACAATTTGCTGTTATAAATGACAGATCCAGTTTCTTGGGATTACTTATACTGAGACCAAAAAGTTTTACCCTTGAGGTTGAGAGTACAGTTTCTTTTTAGACCTTTGAGCTGCGTCTTATGTGTTAGCATGAGAAAAACATAAGTATAGACTAGCTAATATTCACAATAAAACATTTCATACAACATTACTTCAGGATCTCTCTTAGGTCTGTTTAGGGGAAGCGGCAAGCAGGTTTCCTACCTTAGTCCCATGCCTGAGTGTGGTGTACAATTTGGAGTGAATCCTCTTGTATCTGGAATGATACAAGCCCCAAAATAAATAGGTTTCTTTCACCCTTGAGCTTGAGCCACATGTCTTGGCTCTTGCCTTCTCTTTGCCAATGGTATGGACCACTTTTAGTCTATAGCACCTGTGGATAAACAGGTCCCTTATCTTGTGCAGCTTCCATTGCTGGAGCTTATAGTGTTCACTCTATGTCTTCTGCAGATTCTGTGCCATGTGGTTTACAACCCACCCAGTGGTGAACACATATATCTCCTGAAAGGGCTTTTAAGATTGTTGCTCTGCAATATCAAAAGGGCCTTCCAATTGATATCCTCAATTATCTCCAATTATGATACTGTGCTCTCATGGGTCTGGCTTCAGACTGACCCAAAGAAGGATTGGCATTCCCTGTGCAAATTGGACTCCTCCTCATGCTTCACCTACAGGCTGTTTGCCTATCCTCCTCACTAAAGGCAGGCAGGGGTGCTATTGGTGTTGTAGCAATTCAATGATTATAGTCTAAAGTGTTCAAGAGAAGATGTGGCTGGCCAATGGGCTATTCTACATTTATACTATACAATTCTAAATGGTAAATTTAGTATGACCAAAAAAAAAAGAATTATCATTCAAAGTTTCCTGGATACTATGGGCAGGATTTATATCTGTGGTCATCATTAATAAATCATAGTGCTAGTCTTGAGAAAATCATTAAAAGCCAGCATTCATCGGTGACACTTTAGATGATGCAGCCTCACGTGCATTAGTTTTATAGTGATACTATAACACATTATCACAAACTAGGTGGCTTATTTCAACAGAAATTTATTATCTTACACTTCTGGAGGCCAGAAGTTTGAAATTAAAGTGTTAGGTTGGTTCCTTCTGTAGACCTGAAGGGAGAGTGAGTTCAATTCCTCTCTCTAGCTTCTGGCGGTCACTGGCAATCCTTGGTGTCACTTGGATTGTAGACGCATTGCTACAATCTCTGCCTCTTTCTTCACATGTCACTCTTCTCTTCTGTGTCTGTGTCCAACTTTCCCTCCTCTTACAAGGACAAGCGGCATTGCATTAGGGCTCACTCTAATCCAGTGTGATCACATCTTAACTTGATTGTATTTGCAAATACTATTTACAAATAAGGTCTCAAATAAGGCCCAATAAAGCCCATCTGGAGTGGCTGCTGCCATCACACCACTGCAGCATGGTGGTGTGGCTGGGGCTGCACACTCTGTGGAGCCAGAGGGAGCCAGGGACAAGTGGGAGCCCTGACCCTTCCAAGGTGGTAGGGCAGGAGCTCCTGGGTGCAGCTGCAGCTACCCAAGTCGTGGCTGTGGATCCTGCCTCCTGCTCCATGAAGCAGGCAGGTGTCCCACCCTCTCAGATGCAGCTGCAGCCACCCAATTCGTGGCTGAAGACTTGGGCTTTCCTGTGCTCTTGGCAGGGGGCAGGAGCAGGCAAGAGACCTGCCCTCGTGGGCACAGCTGCAGCCACCCAAATTGAGGCTGCACACTTGGGCCTACTGCTTCACAAAGCAGTCAAGAGCACCCAGCCCCACCCTCCCCACAACAGCAGCTGCAGCTGCCCAAACCGTGACTGTGGACACAGGCATCCCTGCACTCTAGGGAACCTGGGAAGGCCCCCCTTGCCCTTGCAGGTTCAGAAGTGCCTGCTCCAAGTGCCTGGCTTTTCCCTGCTATTGGTGCTTACTCTGATCTCAGAGCAAAGTCGAGGCTGAGCCTGGGCACTGTCACAGCCCAGCTGGGTGTGCATGCTCTTGGGGGAGTGCTGATACATAATTCCTCTGCCAACTCAGCCCCCTCTGGACTTTGGTTCCCAATGAGCATAGAAGGGAAGCTGATGGGGGGCTGAGGGCAGCTTGGTACTGGCCTGCAGGTGCCCCTTGGAACCTAGAGCCTGGGCACCAGGAATGGCAGCAGGAGGCAGACAGGCTCTTGGGTGGAAGGGAGTGGTCCCCTGTGAAGCTCCACCTTCAGGCCAGGGTGGGCTTAAAGGCTGAGGGCCGGGCTGTCAGACCCACTGACTGGAGTGGGAACTTGTGGTGCCTTTTCAAGGCCTGCCCATGGTTGTCCGTGGACCAATCAATATGCACTTCCTCCCTGCTAAGGCCCACAAAATCCCTGGAATCAGCCAGAGCAGAGCGGACGTTGGGATGACCAGCTACCCACCCTAGGGCCTCCTCTCTGCTGAGAGATGTAGACATTAGGCCGAATGGCTGCATACAGAAGCTACCCACTCCAGGGCCTCCTCTCTGCTGAGAGCTGCAGACGTTGGTACAAACAGCTGCAGAGAGGAATTGTCTACTCCAGTGCCTCCTCTGAGCTATTCTGTCACTCAATAAAGCTCCTCTTCACCTTGCTCACCCTCCACTTGTCCACATACCACATTTTTCTTAGATGGAAGACAAGAACTTGGGACCTGCCCAATGGCAGGGATGAAAGAGCTATACCACAAACAGGGCTGAAACATGTCCCTTGCTCAACACCTTGTGGGTAAAGAGAAGGAGAGAAGAACTGAAGCCCTTTGGGAAGCCCAGACCTGAGAGCTCACCAAGCCAGGACTGTGACTCCCTCTTTGGGACCCTGAACTTCCTGGAGTCTCCAAGCTTCCAGGCAGCACTTCATTCCCTGGTGGCAGACAGGGAAGCTGCTTGTGGTCCATCTGGTCCCGCCACAGGCTCGCAGAGAACCAGCACACATGTCAGCACCTGGTGCTGCCCACTCTGCTGCAGCAGCTGGGATGACTCACTGTGTGAAATAGCCAGACAACACGCTCGCTCACTCACATACCCCTCACCACTCCATACCTGACCTGCCCTTGGCAGATGTAAGATCCAGGTTGGCAGCATGAGCTGAGCACAGACTGTCAGGCTAAGTGGGCAGAATTAACCCAGGGAGCCCAAGCCAAACTTGGGCAAAGATGCCACTGGCCACATAGGTTTCTGGCAAGAAAAGGGACACCCCAAGGATCCTGCAACATTATGGGTATGGGGAGTTAGTACTGGAATATATCTTTTTGGAGGAAGAGAACACAACTCTACCCACAACAATGAATAATGATGTATACAGCATTAAGTACACTGTATTAAGGATCTTCAGAGTCAAAAAGATCTGTATCATTGAATACTGGAAGGTTCTAAGGAAACTTGCCAGTGGTAACAACATTGCTACTTTTATTTCTTGGCCAGAGATATGAAATTAGCCAGTAATGCACAATTAATAATAGAGAAAAGATGATGCAAGGGCACTATGAAGACTCTTTATGTGTACTCATTGGGTGATAAATACATAAGAGCCTCTTTTCTACCCACTATTCTTAATCTTCATTGATAACTCACTATCTCACGTGTTCTAAATAATTTTGTAAAAATGGTTTTATGAATCAAATTGTTTATATAGACAGGGACTTCCAAAAGTAATTTTGCTGGAACCTCAGCCACCTAGAAGACTTAGTAGCAGCCCTAGTCACTCCCTTCATAAAATAATACCAAAGACTACATTGCCTGTGGTATATACCCAATACCTCTAAAGCTATATAACATGAATTTCTACACTTCTGCTACACAAACTAATTCAGAGTATTATGTTGGGTTTAAATAGCTAGCCTCTAAAAATACTTTAACTCCAAGAGTTATTCCTAGGAAAGAACATGAAAATAAATTTTATTTATTTCACCATATTATTTGTGGATGTAACAGTATATTCATACATCTTTATTCATACTCACAGATTGTAAGTAGATTACACTTTCCTCCAAATTTCAAATTTGATTGATGGTAACTCATTAGAGAGAGTATTTCACCAAGTCTTCTCAGCCACATGTTTATAAACTATCTCTTTGGAAACAGCACATCTGCACATGATTATGCCACTTGTTTTAACCTAATTTTTATAATAGATTTGCCCTCTGAAATTGTCATTTTCTAGACCTTGTACTGTAAATCACAAGACAACTTATAGTTAGATACCTATGTACACAGTACAATACTGACACTGACATCCCAACAAGCTGTAAAGTCCATGTAGAATCTCTCACATGAATAATCCTGTAACAGATTATGGATCATTTTAAGGTGTCAGCTGTATGCTAAGGACTGACAACTACACTGTATCTTATACACAGTCAAATATCTTCATAAGGGATACAGCCCTGAAAGCTGTCACTGAATTCTCATGCCTCAGCAGTAAGCTTTTAACTGATTCACTGGAAGTCAAGTCAAATCAAGACTTGAAAGATAAGATGAAGAAAAACCAGATCAATAACATGCTCATTTCTTTTGGGAGAACCACTGACAGACTGTGGCTCCAATGCAGCATGAAGCTCCTAACTAAGAAAATCTGTTGTTAGCACAGTTCTATTCTACAGCTGTCCATGCAGGAGAGTAATGTTAGTGTTGGAGAGACAAGGAAAATATATAATCGGGGGAAGGGCAGTGAGGTTGAGATTGTTAGGGTTCTTCTCATTAAGTTAATCTTCTACCTAGGATACTGAAAAGTTTCATGAATATAATCAGCAACAACCAACAAGTAGCTTATTAATCTACTAGTTTGGAACACAACCATTTAGAATAGAAAGGGGAGATTTTACAAAATATCTACATGAAATTTGTTTTGATATAGACCTTATATTGTATTTCACTTGTGATCTCTGTTTGTAATACAACTAGAATATAATGTTTTCTTTCTTAAATCCAGTAGTATATTTAAAAGATTTATTTGGTAGCATTGAGAAGGGAATTTGGAGAAGGAGTTCATCATGGACAAGTGGTTTTAACTCCAGTTTTAAAATGAGTCACCCTCTTTGATTCAATCTTTTTATCACACAGAGAACAGTGTATTATTTATTTTAAAATATCTTCCCTATGCATTATTTCCTTTTCTTTCTGGTAGTCACAGCTATAATACAAATGCCATCAATAGGAAATTATTACCTATTTTATAGAATTATTTAAAAACTACTTATTGAAATAAAACATGTAATACAAAAATAGCCTATTTCATTTGTAATAAGAGATATCACATATCTTTCAAAGTTACCATGAAAAAAGAAATAAGAAATATGTATTAGTCTGTTTTCATTCTGCTGTTAAAGTCATACCCGAGACTGGGAAGAAAAAGAGGCTTACTTGGTCTTACAGTTCCACATGCCAGGAGAAGTCCTCAGAATCATGGCGGGAGGTAAAGTCACTTCTTACATGAGAGTGGCAAGGGAAAATGAGGAAGAGGCAAAAGCGGAAACCCCTGATAAACTCATCAGGTCTCATGAGACTCATTTACTATCACGAGAACAGCACCAGAAAGACCCGCCCCCATGATTCAATGGCATCTCCCTAGCTCCCTCCCACAACACGTGGGAATTCTGGGAGATAAAATTCAGTTGAGATTGGAATGGGGACACAGCCAAATCACATCAAAATATAAATCCATACATAATAAATTACCTACCATTTTTTTCTTTCATAAATTACCTAAGATTTGATGCTGAAAAGAAAGGCATTAACAGTAAAATGTTTTAGTCCAATGGGATAAACGGACATTTTGAAAAGAAAAATATATTTGGGTCACCATAGCATTTTGAGGCATGAAGCTTTAACAAGGCTTTTGAGAACTAGGATAATTTAAATTAGAGGGACTTGATTTCAGATACAAAGCAGATCATAATCAAAAGTTTCTCTTTCATAAATTTTCTGATTAGGAATCTCAAAAAGGTATATTTAACATTCAGGAGTTGTTTAACAATAATGAGTCTATGGATAATTTGCCATAAAATGTAAGCACTAGATTATACTTCATAGATACAGAGTCAGTACCAGTTCATTTGTGAAACTCAATCCTTCACAAGAGAATTTTGTTTTAACCACTATTCAGAGATGGTCAGAATGTAAACACCATACTTACATATTCTATGTTTTAATTTCTCATTAATTTCATACAGGTTTATTGCAGATATAACATTCAAATTCCTATAGGACACAGATGGGAAACTGCACCATTGAAATGGTTGTAAGATTTAACAACAGAATCTCTGGACCATGACAAACAGGACTAACCACACAAGATTTTTGTAACTAGAGAGCAGCTGCTCTTTGATGATGACTTTTGGGAATGTGGATGAGTGTTTTTAATTTTTTTTTCAGACAAGCAAGATTACTATGCAAATTTTCCCCAATTTTAGAGATTTATTCCAAATAAAATTTAAATATTATGAAATACTGCAGACCCAACACAAAATGTCTACAGGTGGAATCTTGCCCAGGGACAATAAATTTGTTAGTTCATGTTGGACAAATCCTACTAAATAATTGTTTTAAATGCCAGGCTTTGGAAAATAAAGATAATTAAGCATTTTTTTTTTTTGTCTTTCAAGAAGTACACAGACTTAGTAAGGAAGACTAGGCCCGCACATAACATCTGTGTTTGCAAGTCCAAGTCAAGAGTACAAATGTAGTCACCCAGCATTTCCCCTTCTATTCCTCTATAACTCTTCACTAAAAGGAACATCTCAGCCCTCACATCCAAGCTCCATCCACAGCCATTGAGTCAACCACAGAAGCCTCACGCTTAACATTAGGGCTTAATGGTGAGCACACTAGTAGTAAAGTCACCTTTCTGTAGCCTCGGGGAAATGAACTATGGAGGAATAAGAGGAGGAGAGCTCTGAGATATAAATTCCATGCAGAAGGTATAACAGGCTTCAGGTGGGCAGGAATCCTTAGCTCCTGCCATCCAGTCACACTGGAAAGTGGGATGACAAATGGAGGGCAAAACAGAAGTACTCTAAAGCATTGTGTAGGGAGCAGGTGCTTGATGGTTAACTCTAAGGGTTATATTGAGGGAGGACAATGTACAGACAAATATTTTGGGCATTAGTTGATCACTTACCCTTATGTCCTCAGTTACAAGTCTACAGAGGTTTATCTCCTATGTAACATACTTGGCAGCTACTTACTCTCTTACAAGCACGCTGTATTCAAGTTTAGAAAAGCTTACATAATCCACTCTTAATATCTGAGTGAACAAGTAATCTGCTGCATTGTAAAGAAAAATTATTTTGCCCAGAAAATGTGCCTTTAAGAAAACAGCTTAAAGATGTCTTTGACAGAGGACATAACTACAAATATTTTCTCTATGAGGCTTTTGCCTCTCTATGTGGAAGCACTCTTACTTCAATAATATGCAGCACTTCAAAATCATAAAATGACATATTTTGAGCTTATATGGTTTTTGAATGTTAAACTTTTACTGCCTCTTATATGTGAATTTCAGATGTTAGGTGTTTGAACACTTCATGAAAAAAAATGTTTTGCACTAAGATGTTCTTGAGAGAGAGAGAGAGACACTAATATCTCTTAAAGAAGAAAGGATGCTTTTAGGGCTGCTTTTGGAAATAATTTTACAAGACAAACAGCTCTCTGTCCCCATGGTTAATGGCTTGTTAGTCCACAAAGAAGATAGTGCAAGGGGAAAGCAAAATGCACAGGTTAAGCATCTTCAATAGCATAGCAATAAAATCAAATCAGCTGTCCTAAAAGTCTTGGCAGTTTTCAAGTGGAGTCAGTAACACAGGTCCAGAAAAGGGCATGTTGGTATCACACAGAATAATTTTAATAGTTTTTCTCAATCCCAGTGCATTGAACGTCCTCATTTTAGAGCTGAAATAGCAGCAATAAAGGCAACAAAGTTGTGATAAAAATAGATAATGAAGTTTATTTGCCAGTATTTTCCTGTTCATTTTAGAATTATATTGCTCATGAACACTAAAGCATTGATGTATTTAAAAAAAATATTTTCATGTATACATTAACCCATAAAAGACTTGAACTTAGACTTTTAATTATTAATATGTTTTCCTACAAGGGAATACTAGGCAAAATTATGATCATAAGTACTTTGGAAACTGAATTAGTAATAGGGAGAAATTTAATGAATATAAATAACGTTGACAAACAAAGGTCAAATTCCAATGAAACAGTTCTTTAGGAATTTATGAGCTTTTCTTGGATATAGGAAATATACTGAAAAATTGGTTTGCTGTATTAGACAACTTGAACTTCTCATTTATCTATGTTATTTGAGGAAGTCCATAGGGTATGAAAACAACCCAGTAATAAATTTTTGAAATCAAGAATTAGATTAAGTAGGTCAAAATATCTAAAGAGAGCCAAAAAGGGTTATCTTCTGGTAAGGTATTATATTTGCTAGTTATCCAGATTAAAAAAAAACTATAATAATTGAGATATCTCAACTGGAGTTATAATGATGGTGTTGTTTGACACAGAGGTAGGTGAGACAAAACATAGGCAAACAGAAATGACAAACAGCACAGTATTCTCAATTAATACAAAACTAATTTTAGAATAATATATGTAAAATTCAAGTACTCTTTTAATGTTTTATGTTGATTATAATTGTTTTCTAGGCAGATGATTATTTTCATCAATTAATAAGGTATCCTAAATTTCAAATCAGTACCGAGTGCATGTGAATTATTATGAAATATTACCTCTAAAAGTATTGTTTACATAATTTGTTTCTTTATCTCATCTGACATTGAAACGATTATATAATTGTTAAATACATAAATATAATTATGTAGCTTAAAGTGTCTAGCAGTTTTAATATCAAACTTGTGAAAGTGAACGGTTTTTCTCTTTGTTTCTGGGCATTGCTATATATTTTTCTTACCTAATATTTTTATACAGCACATTGTCATATTGTTTGCAAATACACTACAAAAATAAAACCTTGAAAATGTGGAAGCAGGACTTGATAACTCACGACTTGGGGAGGCTGAGACGGGCGGATCACTTGAGGTCAAGAGCTCAAGACCAGCCTGACCAACATGGTAAAACCCCGTCTCTACTAAAAATACAAAAGTTAGCCAGGCTTGGTGGTGGGTACCTGTAATCCCAGCTACTCAGGTGGCTGAGGCATGAGAATTGCTTGAACCCAGGAAGTGGAGGTTGCAGTGAGCCGAGATCACCCCACTGCACTCCAGCCTGGGCAACGAAGTAAGAGACATCTCCAAAATAAATAAATAAATAAATAAATAGGAAAATGTGGAAATTGCATGTACAGTAGAACACTTCCTTAATCATCTGTTAATTAAGCAACTTGCTGGATTTCAACCTTTTTTCTCCATTCCCAGGGTAAAATATTTACTAATGAGCAGGGCTTTGGAACATTGATGGCTATTAGGTTATTTATTAAAAGAACTTGGCACTTACAGTTACCATGAGTTGAGATACTAAGAGTCCATCAAGGTTATTCTCAATTCACTTACACCAAATAAAAATATGAAAGGTACTAGATGATTTAATTACTATACAATTTTCTGATATCTTGTGCCAAAATCACTGTGTGTGTGTATTTACATGAAAATGCTGTTTAATGCTTAGTAAATAATAAATAATTTTTAAAAGTTGATAAACTAAGCTGTGGTTTAAAAAAACTAGAAAATATTGGAGAAAACAAAAAGATTTTTAAAATCTATATTAAAATAAAATAGTACATCAATTTCTTAAATTTTTGGTTTGTAATACTTATTTTGTCTTTTTAATTTCTCACTTCACTTATTAAAAAAAAACCTAAAAATTTACCATTAACACATTGGATTATAAAATGGGGAGTGTACCAATCTATAGATCTATTTCAATAAAAATTGTCCTATTTAAAAAGATTTGCCAATGACTGCATGTTAATATATTTTATGCTAATTATTATTACAAAATATGCATGAACATTTCAAAAAAGTAATCAACATCTATGCAACTATTTCAATTCCAATGGCGGCTTCTCTCTGTTCTTTGGATCTTTTTAATACACAGATCTACAATATGCTCTTTGAAAGATAAATACCCCAAGGATTTAATTTGATTTTATTAACTTTCTAAAATGATAATGCTCAAAATAAATGAATTAAACAACACATGCACAAGTAATCTTCCATAAATACTTAATTGTGAAAACCATGGAAGGTTAACTCGACCGGGTTGAGTCAAATCCATGCTTTTATGCTATCTTTCTGAAAAACTGTTCATTTCTACTGCATGTATCTACTCAATCCTTTTGTTTATTGCCAAGTAGATACCTCACCTAAAATAAATCATCTTCATAGTTCAGAGACCTCATTGTTTTGAATTTGGAAGGATTTGAGTGAGGACAGGAACTGCGCTCCATTTAGACACATTGATTGAATGAACCGGTGGATTCACGGTGGAGCAGGGGAACATCTGAGGAAGATGACGATGTGAGCAGGTCTTCTAACTCCGTTTGCAAAACCAGAATTAAATGATCAAACAAAATAAAATAAAAACCCATATCCGTATAAGCGTGAAAGTCAGAAAAGGCTGCCACTTCCTACCCTAAGCTTCTAGGAATTTTTTCCTATTAAGTTTACATTAAAGAACATCATCAAGAGGAACCCCCAACTTTTCTTCAAGAGAAAGTAGGATGTAGGTAGAAAAAATACTTAGCAGGGCTTCTCTAAAATGTCTTTAATCAAAAAAGACAGAATAAAAGACTCTGGGAGAATGGAGGACACTCCAATTTACACAATTTTCTATTGAACATTAGACAGAACCTTGGAAAGCCGTGAAAATATGCCTCTCAGATCTCCTGCACCTACTGATTCATGGTCCCAGCTTCTGCCTTTCTGAATCCATCACCACTTTCACACTGTGGTTCCACTTTCCAAAGGCTTCTCCCAGGCAATGGCTAGAAGCAACCCTGGTCCTAATAAAGTTTCATTCCTGTGAGACATGAGATGCTACCAATTGGAGATTTGGGCCCAATGGCTCCCTTTCAGCCTGGCTGAACCTGCTTTGGAATTGTTTTGCACTCTGTGTTTCTTCCTGTCCAACCCTCCTTCCTTTCCCCTCTCCTTCACTGATGGAAGACCTACTAGTGTTAGATGGCTCTCCCTGCCTTCTTTATTTGCTGGTTATTCTTCACGGTCATTTCCATATATATATATATCTTATACATGTACTCCTATCTTTGTTTCCTCCTTTTCAGAAGATCCAAGAAAATAGACAACAGGATAGGAATCTAGCACTGACTCATTCACTCACACCTGGTAGCCAAGAAAATGCCATTCTGAGTAGTATGTGGTGACTGATAGTTTCTGGAAAAAGGTGGTGACCAAATTGCTAAAGAATTCACATGTCTATGGGTGACTTGAGAGAACTTCTGGCTTGGGAAACTGCCACCTGGGGTGCAATATTTCAGGCATTTGAAAAATATGGGGTCAACAGTGATTATTACAAAAGCAGTGGAGTTGATTCATTATTATGTCAAATTGATGTCTGTTGTGGAACACTGTTTTTGTGGAACATGGTTCTGGTTTTCAAAACCAGAACCAGGTTCAAAAACCAGGGTTGGTTGGTTGGTTGGTTTTTTTGTGATGGAGTCTTGCCCTGTTGCCCAGCCTGGAGTGTAGTGGCGTGATCTCGACTCACTGCTACCTCCGCCTCCTGGGTTCAAGCAATTCTCCTGTGTCAGCCTCTCAAGTAGCTGGGACTACAGGTGCATGCCACCAAACCCAGCTTATTTTTTGTATTTTTAGTAGAGATGGAGTTTCATCATATTTGTCAAGCAGGTCTCAAACTCCTGACCTGAGGTGATCCACCCCGCTCCACCTCCCAAAGTGCTTGGATTACAGGCGTGAGCTGCCGTGCCCAGCCCATTAATTGTTATAAGCTAAATATGAGACACTTTATCCTCTGTAAAAGAACAGACAATGGCCCAACAAGCTGAAGAATCGATACTTCGAGTCACAGAGTATCAGAGATATTTACATGTAAAATATAAATGCTCAGTCAAAGCAGGTCTATCATGTTAAAATCAGGGCTGTGGTTGAAAATTCCTGTGCTCTTGAAACATGAGATGGGGAAATGCCTTCAGAGTTTGTAGAGCTGACATACTCTTCTTTAGTAGGAACAAAAACATACCCAGTGTTGGTAGATAATGCAGAAACTTCTCTCTGTTAAGTCAACAGGTGTCCCCCAAATAAGATTTCCCCACTTCCTCTCCTGACATCAAGGCCAATAGCTAGGATCAAATCCCAACATAATATTACTGAATATATGCTGGACTTGACGATGGCAGAAAGACATTATTCACTAACAGAGCCACAAGAGTGAAATAGTATGTTTCAGTAGGCAACCAGAGCGTATGAACTGACTGGATTTTGAGGATGCCATATTAAGAAGGGCAAAATGTAGATTAAACATTAATTCACTGACATGGGGGCATTTTTTGAGATACCTGGCAAGTAATCCAGTGGATGGAGCAAGTTTACCACTAGAGAGGCTCTGAGAAGGCTAGAAAAAAAAAAGATATCTAAGGTGAGTGACGTCAAAAGAATAAAGAAGCTAAGGGAATTAGGAATGCTAAAATAGCAATATTATATAAACCCAGAAAAACCACCCAAGGATTATGTTCCACAGAAGGGCTCACTGAACGCACAGTTCACTAAGGCCTTCAGGAATGCACCAGTGATGGGGCACTAGCACCACTAAGAAGTTCAATAACAGCAATTCTCTGAAAACCAGGAACAACAGAAGGAGAGGTATTTACATAAGTGGGAATTGTTAAAACTCAACAAATTGGGAGGTAACAGCGTGCTGGCAGCCCTCGCAGCCCTCACTGGCTCTCGGTGCCTCCTCAGCCTGGGCGCCCACTCTGGCTGCACTTGAGGAGCCCTTCAGCCCGCCCCTGCACTGTGGGAGCCCCTCCCTAGGCTGGCCGAGGCCAGAGCTGGCTCCCTCATCTTGGGGGGAGGTGGGGAGGTGTGGAGGGAGAGGCGCGGGCGGAACCAGGGGCATGGTGCTTGTGGGCTAGCGGGAGTTCTGGGTGGCCGTGGGCTCCATAGGCCCCACCCTCGAAGCTGCCAGCTGGCCGGCACCTCCGCCCTGTGCAGTGAGGGACTTAGCACCAGGGCCAGCAGCTGTGGAGTCCCTCAGCAGTGCTGGCGCTAGGCTTGAATTCTTGCCGGGCCTCAGCTGCCTCCCTGTGGGGCAGGACTCGGGACCTGCAGCCTGCCATGCCTGAGCCTCCCCCACCACGCAGTGGGCTCCTGCACATCGGGAGCCTCCCCTACTAGTGTGGCTCCCTGCTCCACGGTGCCTGGTCCCATACACCGCCCAAGGGCTGAGGGGTGCAGGTGCATGGAGCAGGACTGGCAGGGAGCTCCACCTGCGGCCCCGGTGTGGGATCCACTGGGTGAAGCCAGCTGGGCTCCTGAGTCTAGCGGGGCCCTAGAGAACCTTTATGTCTACCTAAGGGATTGTAAATACATCAGTCAGCACCCTGTGTCTAGCTCAAGGTTTGCAAATGCACCAATCAGCACTCTGTAGCTAGCTAATCTGGTAGGGACTTGGAGAATCTTTATGTCTAGCTAATGGATTATAAATACACCAATCAGCACTCTGTGTGTAGCTCAAGGTTTGTAAACACACCAATCAGCACCCTGTGTCTAGCTCAAGGTTTGTAAATGCACCAATCAGTGCTCTGTGTCTAGCTAACCTAGTAGGAACTTGGAGAACTTTTGTGTCTAGCTCAGGGATTGTAAACACACCAATCAGCACCCTGCTGAAACGGACCAATCAGCTCTCTGTAAAACAGATCAATCGGCTCTCTGTAAAATGGACCAATCAGCAGGATGTGGGTGGGGCCAGATAAAGCAATAAAAGCAGGCTGCCGTAGCCAGCAGTGACAACCTGCTCAGGTCCCCTTCCACATTGTGGAAGCTTTATTCTTTCGCTCTTTGCAGTAAATCTTGCTGCTGTTCACTCTTTGGGTCTGCACTGCTTTTATGAGCTGTAACACTCACCGCGAAGGTCTGCAGCTTCACTCTTGAGCCAGCAAGACCACGAACCCACCAGAAGGAAGGAACTCCAAACACATCCGAACATCAGAAGGAACAAACTCCAGACACGCAGCCTTTAAGAACTGTAACACTCACCACGAGGGTCCACGGCTTCATTCTTGAAGTCAGTGAGACCAAGAACCCACCAATTCAGGGCAGAAAATGACAAAGCCACCAAGAAGCCTGGTGATGAAAGCCTGAACACCAGAAACCAGAAGGTCACACCATAAAGATAGGTAAGCTTGATCCACTGGGAATTGAGAAAATGGTTCAAAGAGCGTGGATGAAGTTTCTAAGAACAAAATAGGCATGTAGTCAACAACAGTCTACCAAAGACATACAACCAGAAAGAGGTAAGAACCTAGGAACAAGAGATTAATGGCAGGCACCCAAACAAGAAGCCATACTCCCTCATTCTGTTCTCAGGCTGAAGTCTATTTCCAGACCCAGCAACAATGGACTGAAGAAATGGCTGTGTTCCTGAGTGGAAGAAACCTCTAGTAACGTGGCAATATCCAGATAGTTCATATTATTATACATAGAGTCTAAGATAACATTAATACCTAGAGCCCCAAAGCATCATCCTGGGCCTATTGGTAGAGTCAGAGCTGATAAGGGCGAGGTAATAAATGAAATCCTTACAATATGAACCTGGCTCATATTCAACCCAATGGGTCTGAGAAACCACTCACTGGTTATTTCTTCAGTATCCAAATGTTTAATTGGAATTGATTTAGTTGACAATTTGCTTAAACCCCACGTTAGTTTATTGGCCTCTGGGATAAGAGTTATCTCCCTAGGGAATACCAAATAGAAATGGCTTCCTTCCCCCAGTCAAAATGATAACCCACATATAATATTTAGTGGATATGAATAATGATAGAGACAAGTATCACGACTTGTGATAGTTTGTTAGAGCTACCATAACAAAATACCACAGGCTGGCTTGCTTAAACAACAGAAGTTTATTTTCTCACAGTCACGAAGCTAAAACTCCAACATCAATGTATTAGCTGGTTTGATTTCTTCTGAGGCCTCTCTCGTAGTCCTGCAGATAGCCATCTTCTCTCTCTCACTGTCCTAAAATAGTCTTTTCTCTGTGCATTCACACACCTGTTTAAATCTCTTCTTCCCATAAGGACAACATTCATATTGTATTAGGACCTACTGTAGAATCTTATTTTACTTCACATACCTCTTTGAAGGCATTTTATCCAAATGAAATCACATTCTGGGCTACTAAAAGGACTTCAACATACAAATTTGAGGGGACACAGTTCAGCCCATACCACAACTAAAGTGTAAAAAGCTGCAGGGGTGGCATGTGGTCTCCATTAATGATCTCTATTTAATTCTTTTGTCTGACCTCTGCAGCCACTGTGTGAATCCTGGCAATGACAGTAGAGAGTGATTGTTACATAAGTGCAACAAAGGAGCAACCTGATAGGAGAGGCTATGCCAGGCATAATAACATTGCTCGTGTACATTGATAAGACCTCAGGTACATGGTATTTGGCCATTGATTTCTTGACCAATTTCTATTTAAATTAGAAAAAGCATCAGGAAAAGTTCATATTCACTTGGGACAGGCAACAATATTT
This sequence comes from Homo sapiens, assembly GCF_000001405.40. Lineage (NCBI taxonomy): Eukaryota > Metazoa > Chordata > Mammalia > Primates > Hominidae > Homo > Homo sapiens. Next base: position 136,931,687 of record NC_000004.12, read on the forward strand.
ACTTACAGTTTTGTGTCAGGGCTCTGTTAAGTTGCTCACCGTCTGTTATAACATAGTTAGAAGAGACCTGAACAACCTGAACATCCCACTAACATTATAATGATTAATTACACCCGTGGAATCATGCTAATTGGATAGGATAAGCAAAAGATTGTCTTGGTAAGACAAATGTGCTCCAGAGAATGTGAGATAAATCCTGTGACTATTTGGAAATCTCTTTTTTAGGAGACCAGGGGCCAAGAGTGTGCTGTGGCTTCCTCTTCAAACTGAAAGACATATTACTGTGCTCTGGATTCCTTGTCATAGTAATCATGCTCTGGATGATACAGCAAGTAATAGGGAAGGCAGCCAGTTCTGAGGGCTCCCCAGGTTGGGAAAGGGCTTTTTGAAAGATCCAAGCTGTAGTGAAGGTAGCTCTATGGGTTGGGTCATACAATTCAGCAGATACTTTGGTGAGTCATCTATAGCGGAAAAATATACAATATGGAGCTTATATCAAATCCCAATTAGAGCATCACAACATTTTTTTTAGATTTGGGAACAAGGCCATCTATCTGCACCAAAAAATTATATTCCTTTTAAGAAACAGCCCTAGCAGAGACAGATGGTTTGCTCATAGTGCTCTAAGTGACAGTGTATACAAAAGTACCCATTATGAGTCCAGTTCTGTAAGACCTAATAAATCATAAATTTTATCAGGCCCAGCATTTTACCATAATAAGCAGGAAAGGTGTATCTGGATTAAGCCTTAGTAGAACAAGAAGGAAGGCATCAGTAAGTTATATAAGCAAATACCCCAGACCCTCCCATCACCTAATAGCTGTGTTATGTCTCTTGCCCAGTTTATTCTTGGGGCTGCACTGGAGAGCAAGAGGTCACATGCAACCAGCTGCAGGTGGAGACTCCATCTCAAAAAAAAAAAAAAGTCAAAATTAAAATTATATTTAAAAAATGTGATCAAGTCAGGTTTATTACAGGGAAATGTGGATAGATAACATTTTTAAATGGTTTCACATAATGACAATAATTGCAAAATATAAGAATATACCCTCAAAAAATATATGCACCACATGAAGATATCTGCACTCCTATGTTCATTCCAGCATCACTCACAATAGCCAAGATATGAAAAAATCTTAGGTGTCAGTCAATGGGTAAATGAATAAAGAAATGGTGGCACTTGTATACATGTGTGTATATATATAATGTATGTATATATATTTATATATATATAATATGTGGTATAAATTTATATATAACACACACAGGAATATTATTTAGCCTTTAAAAGGATAGCTATCCTGCCATTTGCAACAATATAGATAAACCTGAAGGGTATTATACCAAGAGAAATATGCCAGGTAAAGAAAAATACTGCATACTCCATTTATATGTGTAATCTTTAAAAAGCTGGGTATATAGAAACAGAGAGTACAACTGTGACTACCAGGAGCAGGAAGGGAGGGGAGATGTGGAGATGAAGGTCAAAGGGTACAAAAGTACATTTATGTAGGATGAATACATCTAGAGATTCAATATATGGCATGAGGACTATAGTTAATAATTTTGTACTAGAGATTTGCTAAGAGAGTAGAGTTTACATGCTCTTACTACAGACACACAAAAGTAACTATGTGAGGTTAACATGTTAATTTGCTTCACTATAGTAATTATTTCGCTAAATACATGCATATTAAAACAGCATGTTGTGCATTTTAAATATATATAGTAAAACAGGAAGAAAGAACATAAGTTTCAGATTCCATTCTGGAATCAAAAGTATGGGTGACGTTGAAAAACAAAAACTGAAAATTCTAAAACTCATATAAATTTTACAAGGTATATAAAAATTTTGACAATGCCCAAAAAACTTCCATGAATATAAAGATAATATGTACCAAATTAATGTAAAAATAATGTAAATATTTAATTAAAAATAGTCTTGTAAAGGAAGTAAACACATTGATTTGGTTGAAAAAAGTCAAGTAAACATATATTGATTAATAGGAATTAATGAAGAGGTCTTTAAACTATCAGATAACTAGAAAAAACTTAAAAAACCAGAACAACTTCCCAAAGTATATAGATTAACTATTCACATTTTGATGCCTGCCTTACATCCTACACTAATGTACATTTCAGACATTAAATGAGCAAACATCAAAAATAAAAGAAACAAAAGCTAAATTAAACTACAGAAAATATAAATTAGAATATGCATATATCTGTTCATGGACACAAGGAAGTTTTCAAAATTGGATATAAATAAAAATATAATATCAGAAAATAGTTGGTAGAAATCAAAATGTGACATTTTCAACGTGATACAAAATCTAGCATAAACATAAAAAGCAAAAGAATATGAGAGACACTATTTGTCACATATCTAACAGACCATAAACCAGTCTTAAAGTTGTATACAGACAATGAATGTTCCAGCTGAAACTTGGAAAAGTTAATGAGTACACACAATTTGAAAGGCTAAAAATATATAGCAATTAATTATGCTAAAATATATTTCACTTCATACTTAGAATAAGTCAGAAAAATCATTTTACATTTCTCCTTTGAAAAGACAATTATTTATCAAACATGATAATACCAGGATTAGTGATTGTGCCAAAAAATATAAAATGGCCCACATGCAAAATTTTCCCTTCTATACTTTTTTTCTTAGGAACTACTAATGCCTTTATATGAAACAATATTCACTAAGTTTTGTTTTGATTATGAGAATTAGAAATAGCATACATGTTCAAAAATAGCAATTAGTTTAATACATTTTAATGTAACCCCATCACAGAAGCTACATTTTAACAGAGATTCCAATGAGAAATACAAAAATGTTCACATTTCGTTGAGCGAAAGTTTAAATGTGCAAAGTTGAATTTGCACTTGTTTCTATTTTTTAAAATAAGATCATATGTATATGGGTGAAGATCATATACACATATATATATATTTTTATATATTAAGTTCACATTGTTTTTTCCTAGGTGAGTGGCTTATTGATGTGTTTGAATAAAAATGTGTGTACTGGGAGTGGGCAGAATCAGTTCTCAGATTTCTACAAGCTTATTTGGTAAGAGATTAAGTGAATAGACAGACATAACGGAAAAAAAAAAAAAGTCCCCTGGGACCTCCTTTCTTTTCCTGTAAGGAAATAGAATGATCATTTTCATTGAGAGCTATTTGGTAAAGCAAAATTACTTGCTTGATTTTTATCCATCAGAAAGCTGTTATATACCCCAAATCAGTCAGAATAAAAAGCACCACATAGGGTTCTTTAGGTCTCTGCATGCTATACAAATGTTGGCATGGCTTTTTCTTTTTTTAAAGAGCAGCACATGGTGATAACTACATAAAATGATTCCCGAAGTCCAGTAAAATATTGGTATTAGGACACTGGTGATTGCAGAGCTAGCACTTTTAGCAAACCAAAAAGGCAGAAACACTAATATTTATTCTAGGAAAGAGAAAAAATGTGTGAACAAAATTGTGTTAAAAATGAACCTTCTACAAAAGAAAGCAAGATCAACACTGAAATTAAATAACTATTCTATTTAATATATTGCGACATTATATCTACTCACCACCAATACATTTTTATAAGTTGATAGACTAAGTAACTTCACAATTCTTTAATATAAAAATATTTCTCCATTAATTAGTCCCTGATATGAACCAGTTTTTAGTACATTTGGGGGTGGGGGAAGTGGGTAGTGAGTCAGGAATGACAAGGACTGGAGAATTTTCTGAGGCATTGTTGCATGGAGAATGTAGGTTTTAACCTTTGTGAAATCACAGAATCATTAACTTTGACTTTACTATTATGCGCAGAATTTCTCTCCTCTCTCTTCTGTCTTGCCCCCAGTAGAGAAGTTCAACCTTTTAATATTTAACAAGTCTATTTCTGGGCTATTGAGAGAGATTAAGAAGGAAGCAGTGAAAAGCAATGTTATTAATTTGATCTGAAATTTAGTAGTGGCTAGAGGCTGAGCTGGGGATCAAATGTTAGGATTTATAGTTACAAGAATAACATACCCTGCTGCTCCCTCACTTTCTCCACGCACACACATGTGTGCATGCACATACATACATATGTGCAAATATATACATAGCACACACCCACACCCCCACACCCCCTCCACACGCATACACACACAATGTTCAGTTGATATTTAGCAGACAGCTTTGGGGAATAAAAGATATCGATACTCTCAGTTTCTAGGCAGATAATAAATATGGAGAAAAGAGTAAAAATATCATTGTTTCACAAGTCGGTGCAGAGAAGTATCTCTAAATAAAAACGTATTTTAGTGCTTTCTGTTCCCCTGTGGGACAGAAAATAGGAGGTCCAAATGCCTGGAATGTCTTTATAGATTCCAGGCTTAGGAAGTATTGGTGCAGGGCCAAAATATCTCTATCAAGGGAGGGGTATGGTCTTGTTAGACAGCCACTGAATTCTGATCAAGAATTATAAGTTGAAATAACATATTTGAGAAGATAAAGTACATGTGTTTAAGAGGGAAAGAGGAGAACAGTAACCTCAGGCTGGACATATAGAATTATGAGTAAAGGCAGGATGAGGAGGAGAAAGGCAGAAATGTGAATTGTTGGACTTAGCTTGAAAGTGGAAAAGGCAGCAACCAGGAAACTTCCCAGGATATAGTTTTGAAGATGCCAACTGATTGCCAAAGTTGATGACTTAGTAATATTATTTGGAAGACCTCTAGACCCTTCTAGGTTTATCTGCCTGCTGTAAGGCCCCTCCCATTAGTAGCCACCAAAGCACATTCAGTTTGGTTCTTGAGACGTCTCATTTGTCTTGTGGAAAAATGACACATCAATAAAAACCCATTACTCCAATCAATATTTCAGGAAGCCTGGAGAGTATATGCAAGCTACTGACAATCCATGTAATAGCCCCAAAGGAAAGGTGGGCATTACTTTCTAGCCATTTTATAGACATCGATATTCCATCAGAAAATATCACACCTATCATTTCACTAACAAAGAAGTGCTGTTTGATTGAGGAAACTATTGATAGCCCAGTGAAAAAGAAATGACACATCCAGGGGAAAATGATCATTTTTAAACAAATATCCCACACATTAGTGTAGAATAATTACTGGAGAAGAGCTATCTTTAGAAAAACTGAAATCTCAAGGTCTCTGTAAATGATATTGTGACCAAGTCCAGCCCTTATACACTCATTCTAATACTTCCACTTTTCAATATTGACCCTTCACCACCATCGGGTTGTTTCTTCTTGTTCATAACAGATTTATTTATGTATTTAGGAGTATACATGTTTTGAAAACATTCTCAGAGCGTATTACTTCAGCTTCTTCTTCTCTTATATACTTATGTATTCAACCATCTGTCTGTCTCTCTACCTAGCTTTTTAACTGCCTACTAAACTACCTATGCTCTATCATCTAGCCATCTATCTCATTATCTTTTTGTCATCTATGTCTACCTTTCTCTTAGCAAGAGTTGCATATGATAAACTTTAATGCAAATTATATTTCCTTGGTTGTTTATAAGATTTTGAAAGCTCTGCAATCTTCTATTGAATAATGGTGTGTTTCATTTCCTATTATTAACAATTCTCTACTTTAGAAACAGGTAGAAAATCTTTATGCTTCTCTTTGTGATTTTGTATCCTTTTAAAACATTTAGGTGCATTTAAGGTGATATGCAAAACCCAGGAATTTTCGGTAAAATAATATCAGGATAATTTTATACAGAGATTGTCACTGAAATATGACTATCATTATTTGTCTTGTTAGGTAAAGCCTCTTGGTTAGTTTTAGTATTAGCCTGAACTCAAACATTTACCCTTACTGGAAACTTTAAGCTTGTAGTCAAAATTATTCTTATTTAAGTGAATCTACTATCATCGGAGTTTAATTAATTTTATTCTTGATAGGATGAGACTATTTTTCTTATTAAGTTAAACTCAGTTTAAGGCATTTGCACAATACTTAACAATAAAGATGAAAATTTCTGAGGTAGAGTTAGATCTGATAGCTTTATATTTTTAAAATCTTCATTGTTAGTTTTAATCTTTCTTGTATATTTCTCACAAAATTCAATTCAGTGTTTGAGGCAAGTTTAATTACTGAACACCTCGGTGTACAATAAACTTTAAACTATGTTTAAAAATACCTGTGAGATGTGAGGAAGCCATGTAGAATGTTATAGGAAACCATACACGGGAGATTAAAATGAACATTATTTACTCAAGGGGAAAATGTGTAATTCCTCTTGAGATTTGCAGAATTATTTTATATGGTCTATAATCCTTTTCAATATTATAAAACATATAATTCTTGGAACTTTAAAGGTATTTAAAGCAAAAATGTTTAGAAAATATGTATTGCTTATTTCCAATTTATATCTGCATTTACTATGTTTTATAGATTGCTAATATATTATTATTTTGTACACTATTTCAAAAGTTTTAATTCATCAGAAATATTTTATAAATATGAAACTTGCTTTATATCTTCATATCTAATCTTTTGTCTCAAGAAGTAGAGATATGTAATTATAATAATATTGTCAGTGCATATTTTACATTCCCCTATCTCCGTATTTCTGGGTAAGTGGAAAGAGAAGGGTATGGCACTGGGAATCAAGAGGGAAGAAGGGAATTTTTTAAAGTTTAGTGGTTCCTAGAATGAGAGAGGTGAAAAAATGGAGAAAGGAAAATAAAAAATATAAGGCCCTTTTTAGATCAAAATGCCTGCTATTGGGGTTAAGAGAACAGAAATGACTAGAGATATACGATTGATAAATAGATAGATAGATAGATAGATAGATAGATAGATAGATAGATAGATACATACATACATACATACATACATACATACATACATACATACATACATAGATACATAGAGACAGACAGATGTTATGGGCTAAATTGTGTTTCTTCCAAACTCACATGTTGAAGCCCTAACTCCCAGTACCTCAGAAAGTGACTGTATATAGACATGAGCCGTTAAATAGGTAATTATGTTTAAATAAAGTCCTTAGTGTAGGCTCTAATTTAGTCTTATTGATGGCCTTGTAACAACAGGAAATTTGGACATACAAAGAGACACCAGGTGCATGCATGCACAGAGGGATGACCATGTCAGAGACACTAAGAGAGCAGCTGTCTGCAAGCCAAGGAGAGAGGTCACCTGAGAAACTAACATGGCTAACACCTTGATCGTGGACTTCCAGCCCCCAGAACCGTGAGAAAATCATTTCTGTTGTTTCAGCCATCCAGTCTGTGGAACTTTGTTATGGCAGCCCCAGCAAACAAATACAATAGATATTTGCCCCGTCTTCCCCATTTGGGATTCTGTGAGAAGACCTTTTAGAATGTGTCTCTGTCAATCTGGAGCAGGCTCAACAGAGACATTTGCTACCAGGATTTATGCCTCAAATTTCCCCAAGCTCCTGTAATTTTGAAAGGAGAGGTTTTCCCTTTTTTTTCTCTGTGCTCCTTGAGAGAGACACAGAAAGTGGCAATGGACCTGTTATTGTGATGATCCCCCACTGAGGTAAGGGGTAAGGTGACCCCAGAGTGGAGGCTGTGGGGTAGGATGGCATAAGTCATACATACAATAGAAAATATGACTGAATCACAAAAAACCTGCAGGGTCGGCCAGAGCTGATCAGCAGAAGCTGGCAGGGAACCTGGTATTTAATATGACATATTGCCACAGATACTAACAAAGCCCCAGAGGAAGAAAAAAGGATGAACATTTGGCTCCAAGGGCACCATCTCTTGGAAGTGGAGGCAAGTAAGCTTTCCCTTAATACAGATGCCAATTTGGGAAGAAAGAGAGAAGCAGAAATCCTTTAAAGCTATGTATTTACAAATTACTAAATAGAGTGTTTAAAATGGAAGATATTATGATATTTTAAAATCACAGCAGTGAGTCAGCTGTCCCTACAATGCCCGTAGTACTCTGGACTAAGAGGACTCAGATATAAGAGAGAGAACTTGTTTCTTGATTTAGTCAAGTATACAATCAAATAAACCACAATTCCCTACATAAGCCCAATATTTGTATATAAATACAGGGCCCCACTACAAGTTCATGCTTCTCTTTTGTTCAACTCATAAAAGATAGTGTTAGACTAGGCCATTATAAGTATTTGAGCAATTGAAGTTGCTACATCAATGATGTTTGAGTTGATATTAAAATAGCACCATGTATTTTATATTTTACAAGAAATTAAGTCTGACAGATGGAAGTAAACAAGTCTAGAAGGGTGACTAATCACTAACCCACATTGAATGGAGTTACTAGAGGAGCTTAAGCACTGTCAGTGTCAGCTACAAATCTCTTAGCAAATGGAGTGAATGTGTCTTCAGTGTGGAAGCAAAAATAAAGTCAATTATAAAAAGTTGAGGAAGTAGAGAAAGGAAAAGAAAAACAGGGAAAAAAGTACAAAACAGAAAAATTAATAACTACTATGGCTCACCCCTCATTTAAGTTATAAAATTGCAAAATATTCCCACAAAAAACATTTGTAAATCTTCATTCCTTAAAGATCTATGACAGGAGTTAGCAAACCACAGTAGATGGGGAAATCAGAATTTCCATCTAAAGTTTTATTGGAATACAGTCATGCCCATTATTGTCAATGGCTACTTTACCACTACCAACGGCAAAGTTAAGTAGTTGCTGCCGAGACTTATACCTCACAATGCCTAAGTATTCACCATTTGGCCCTTTACAGGAAACGTCTGCCAACTTCTGTCCTAATTTTGGAGGTCCTATTTTTATATGGGAATATAACTGGTTTCTACTTATACATTTTCCATACCAAAAAGCAGATATCAACTTGATTTGAGGCAGGTCAATAACTCCTTTTTCTTCCTTATTGTCATTTTGGCAAAAGGACCCGAAATTCCAGCTGACAGTATCAGCTTCCAATATTTGTCCACTAATATTAGAAGGATTTTTCTTTATATTGACATGATTTTAGACCATCAAATGCAGAGTTGTTATGGTGGAAATGAAAATGCTTGTGTGTCATTAGATTCTCTACCATTATTTTACTTTTTGGTGGTAAGTGACATAAACAAATATTTCTAACTCTCTGATTTCTGGGCATAAGACAGATTATAATTCTGGCTTTCTTGTGTTTGGGAGAAGCCATGTGACAAGGTGTGGCCATGAAATGTGACTGGAAGTGATATGTACCACTTCTGCAAAGCATTCTACTATATGAAAACCCCAGGGCAGTGTGATGGTTAATATTGAGTGTCAACTTGATTGGATTGAAGGATGAAAAGTATTGTTCCTGGGTATGTCTGTGAGGATGTTGCCAAAGGAGATTAACATTTTAGTCAGTGAACTGCTAGTTGCACAACTACCCACAGTGTGGGTGGATACCATCTAATCAACTGCCAATACAGCTAGAATAAAGAAACTTGCTGAGTCTTCCAGCCTTCATCTTTCTCCCATGCTGGATGCTTCTTGCCCTTGAACATCACACTCCAAGTTCTTCAGCTTTTGGACTCTTAGACTTACACCAGTGGTTTGCAAGGGGAGCTCAGGCCTCTGGCCACAGACTGAAGGCTGCACTGTTGGCTTTCCTACTTTTGAGGTTTTGGGAGTCGTACTGATCCACCATTGGCTTTCTTGCTCCTCAACTTGCAGAGGGCCTATTCTGGGACTTTACCTTGTGATTGTGTGAGTCAATTCTCCTTAATAAACTCCCTTTTACGAACATGTATATTCTATTAGTCCTGTCCCTCTAGAGAATCTGGACTAATACAGGCATATTACCACTAATACATATCACCACTAGTACAGGCTTAATACCACAGAAATACAAAAGATCATTCAAGCCTACTATGAACACCTTTTTGAAACAAATCAAAATGAAAACACAACATACTAACCCTGTGGAATGCAGCAGAAACAGTGCTAAGAGGGAGGGAAGGTTATAGCATTAAATGCCTATGTCAAAAAAAGTAGAAAGATTTTAAATTAACAATTTAACAATACATCTCAAGGAAGTAGAAAAGCAAGAACAAATCAATACCCACCCCCCCAAAAAAAACACAGAAGAAACGAAATAACAAAGATCAGAGAACTAAATGAAATTGAAAAAAAAAGTACAAAAGATAAATGAAACAAAAAGCTGGCTCTCTGAAAAGATAAACAAAATTGATAGACATTTAGTGAGATTACCCAGGAAAATAAGGGAAAAGATCCAAATGAGCTCAATTAGAAATGAAACTGGAGATATTACAACCAATACCAAGCTAGTTTAGAAAACACCAAGCAGGATAAATACCAAAAATTTACAGCAAGGCACATCATACGCAAACTGAAACAAAAACAAAGTGAAAATATTAAAAACAAACACTTTACAAATAGAGGAACAAGGATGAGAAGTTGCATCAGACTTCTACAAAAAAATATTCCTCAAGAGTGAAGGAAACATCTGAAGGAATTTGTTGCCAGTAGACAGGTCATGCAAGAAACGTTAAAAAGAAGTACTTCAGAGACAAGAAAAGTGATATAGGTCAGAAACTTGAATCTATGTAGAGAGAAAATATGGAGAAGGGACAAATGAACGTAAAGTGAAGTATTTTATTTTTATTACTCCTAGTGCATCTAATAGAGTAATGTTTGTTCAAAGTAATAAGACCATCACTATTTTAGGTAATTATAGCATATAGATAAATAAAATGAATGACAATAATGTTACACCAGTGCTACCTGTGAATCAGTAGGTTATAATGTAAGAGTTAACTTAGAGTAGGCCAGGCACGGTGGCTCACACTTGTAATCCCAGCACTTTGGGAGGCCGAGGCGGGCAGATCACAAAGTCAGGAGATCGAGACCATCCTGGCTAACACGGTGAAATCCCTTCTCTACTAAAAAATACAAAAAATTAGCCGGGCATGGTGGCGGGCGCCTGTAATCCCAGCTACTCAGGAGGCTGAGGCAGGAGAATGGCGTGAACCCAGGAGGCGGAGCTTGCAGTGAGCTGAGATCTGAGATCAGGCCACTGCACTCCAGCCTGGGCGGCAGAGCGAGACTCTCTCTCGGTGGGGAGGGGGAAAAAGAAAAGAGTTAACTTAGAGTAGTTGTAAATGTATATTGCAAACTCTAGGGCAATAATTAAACATGTTTATTTATTTCTTTTATTTTGTATTTTCTTTTCAGGACACGATTGGACTGTGTAAATATCTTTAAATATAAATTATGTTCTATGAAAGGAGAGAAAATGAAAACACATTAAAATGCTCTATTAAGAATAAAGAAGGCAGTAAAAGGAGGGACAGTAAAAAATGACTCAAATACACCAGAGTCAGAGACTGTCAGAATGGAAACAAACAAACAAAAGCCAATACACAATTATATGCCATCTACAAGAAACCTATCTTAAATATATACACAGACAGATTAACGTAAAAGGATGAAGAAAAAAATATTATACTAACACTTGTGTAAAAAACACTGGAGTAGCTGCATAATTGCAGAAAAAGTAGAATTCAGGACAAGGAAATTATCACACATAAATAGGAGCATTAATAAAGAGGTTAATTTTGTAAGAATGCATAACAATCTTTAGCATGCATGCACCTAACAACGGTGTCAGAATACCTGAGTCCAAAAGTGATGAAATCTGTAAAAAGGAATAGGCAAATTCACAATTAAAGTTGAAGACGTTAACATCTCTCTGTTAGTAATTGATAGATCCAGTGAGCAGAAAATCAGTAAGGTTAGAGAGGAAGTGAACAGCACCCCCAATAATAAAGGGTGTCTAAAGGATACTTACAGAATACTTCAGCCAATAACAAAAAAAATAATTTTTTTTTCAAGCTGACATGGATCATTCATGAAAATAGACCACATTCTCGGTCATAAAAATATACCTTAACAAATGTAAAAGAACAGAAAATATACAAAGGTACAAAGCATGTTCTCAAAACACAATGCAATTAAACTAGAAATCAAGAAGAATAAGATAGCTGGCAAATCTTCAAATATTTGAAGATTAAACACACACTTCCACATAATACAGTATTAAAAAAAGCCTCCAGGGAAATTTTAACATTGGAACTAAATGAAAATGAAAACAAGACTTTCCAAAACTTATTAGCTGCAATGACAGTATTGCTTGAAGGAAAATTTATATCATTGAGTGTATATTAGAAAAGAAGAAAGTTATAAAAATCAACAGTCTAAGGTAGCACATTAAGAAAAATATGAACCTAAAGAAGGAGAAAAGAGATAATAAAGGTTAGACTAGAAGTCAATGTAATTGAAAACAGGAAATCAATAGAGAAAGTGAATAAAAACAAAAAATGTTTTTTTCTTTTGAGAAAGGTCAACAAAACTGATAAATCTTTACCAGGGTAACAAATAAAAGATGTATATATAGAGAGAAAAACAAAGTGCTAATATCATAAATAAAACAAGGGCTTTTACTAAGGATTTAGTGGCTACTAAAAAGATAATATTATAATACTGTGAACAACTTTGTGCCCAGAAATTAAATAACTTGGCTTAAATAAACAAATTTCTTAGAAAACACAAACTCTCAAAATTTATAATATAAGAAATCTATAATGTGAGTAGGGCTGTATTTATTAAGGAAATTGATTAATAATTACCTTACAAAAATAAAACAGAACAAAATATCAGGTCCATACGATTTTACTTGCAAATCCTACTAAATATTTAAAGAAGAAATTACATTAATTCTCTATGATCAGTTTCAGAAGACAAAATTGGGGTGAAATGCCCTAATGCATTCCATGAGGCCTGTATTATCCTAACACCAAAACCAAACAAAAATATTACAAGAAGAACAACTACGGACCAATATATCTCATGAACATAAATGTGAAATCTTTAGTTAAATATTACCAATATAATACAACAATGTATACAAAGAATTATACACAGTTATCAGGTGGGACATATTAAAGTTATTCAATAGAGGCTGAGATTTGATTTATGCCATCACGTGCCAAGGGACACCTGGGGCTACCAGAACCTCGAAGAGGAAAGGAAGAATTTTTTCCTAGAATATTTGTAGGGAGCAGAGCCCTGCTACAATCTTGATTTCAGACTTATAATCTCCAGAACTGTGAGATAATACATTTCCGGGATTTTTTTTTAAGCCAGCAATCATGTGGTAAAATTATTTTAGCAGTCACAGGAAAAGAATTCAAAGCCTAATTAATTAATTCAAAAATTTAATTGAGTTTTTTTAAATTTGTATAACTGCATGGAATACATGTGCAATTTTGTTGCATGCATAGGTTGGATAGTGGTCAAGTCAGTGCTTTTAGGGTGTCCATAACCCAAATAACATACTGACTTATATTCATCCTCCCCTCTCCCACTTCCCATTCTTCTGAGTTTCCATTAGCTATCGTTTCACTCTCTACATTCACATGAACCCATTTTAACTACATAATTATAAGAGAGAATATGTGATATCTGTCTTTCTGTGCCTGGGTTGTTTGGCTTAAGATAATTACCTCCAGTTCTATTCATGTTGCTGCAAAAGACATAATTTAATTTTTTTGGCTCAGTAGTATTCCATAGTACATATATACCACATTTTCTTTATCCAACATCTGTTAATGGACACTTAGGTTGATTCCATATCATTGCAGTTGTGAATAATGCTGTGGTAAACATACTAGTGCAGATATGTTTTCTAGCTAATGATTTCTTTCCCTTTGGGTACATACCCAGTAGTGAGATTGCAGAATCATACTATAGTTCTATTTTTAGTTCTTTGAGAAATATCCATACACTGTTTTATAAAGACTGTACTAAATTATATTCCCACCAACAGTGTATAAGTGTTACCTTTACTCCATGTTCTCGCCATCTTCAGATATTTTTGTCTTTTTAAACAATAACCATTCTGACTAGTGTAACGTGATATACCATTGTGGTATTTATTTGCATTTTCCTGATGACAGTAATGTTGATAAATTTTTTATATACCTGCTGGACATCTGTATGTCATTTTAAAAAAGTCTATTCATATACTTTGCCCACTTTTTAATAGACTTATTTTTGTTGTTGAGCTGTTTGATTTGTATATTCTGTTGCTTAGTCCCTTATCAGATGAATAGTTTGAAAATATTTCCCCTCATACAACAGATTGTCTCTTCACTCTGTTGATTATTTTGCTATGCAGAAGCATTTTAGTGTAATTAAGTCCCATTTATCTATTTCTGCTTTTGTTGCCTAAGCTTTTGCAGTCTTAGTTATAAAGTTTTTGCTTAGACCATTATCCAGAAGAGTTTTCTCTATATTTTCTTCTAGTATTGTTGTACTTTCTGGTCTTAAAATTAAGTATTTAATTGATCTTGAGTTGATTTTTGTATATGGTGAGAGGTAGAGGTCAAATTTTATTCTTCTGCATATGAGAATCCAATTTTCCCAACACCACTTATTGGAGAGGGTGTCCTTTCCCCAGTGTATTTTTGTCAGCTTTGGCAAAGATAATTTGGCTGTAAATATGTGTCTGTTTCTGGGTTCTCTATTTTTTCCCATTGAACTATGCATATATTTTTCTTCCAATACTATTGATGGCAGTGGTGGCATGTCTGAAGTGGCTGCTGTGAAGACACTGGCTGCACACTCCACGGAGCTGGTGGGAGCCAGGAACAGGTGGGAGCCCTACCCTCCTGGGCGCAGCTGCAACCACCCATCCATGGCTGCAGACCCATGCATCCCTGTACTCTCGGGAGCCTGGGAAGTACCCACTGCCCCTGCAGGCTCAGAAGTGCCTGCTCGCACTGCCTGGTTTCTCCACACTCCTGGTGCTTGCTTGAATTTCAGAGCAAAGTTGAAGCCGAGCCCAGGTGCTGTTGTGAGCCGTCTGGGTGTATGCATGCTCAGGGCAGCATTGACACACCAGCTCCCCTGTCACCTCAGCCCTGTCTGAAACATTGGGCACCAACGAGCTCAGGAAGGGAGGCCAGTGGGGGCTGAGGGCAGCTTGGTGCAGGACTGCAGACATCCCTTAGCACAAACAGCCTGGGTGCCGTGGATGACATGTTGATGGCAGCAGGAGGCAGACAGGCTCCTGGGTGGAAAGAGGCAAGTTTCTGGTGAAGCCCTACCTTCAAGCCAGGAATAGCCTGAAACATGGGTGTGGGGCTGTCACTTCCAGGTGAAGTCCACTGCCTGGAGTGAGAACTTACGGTGCTTTTTCCAGGGCTGCCCATGGTTTCCCATGGACCAATCAGCACACACTTCCTCCCTTCTGAAGTCCATAAAAACACTAGTCTCAGCCAGACTCACACAGACATCAGGATGACCTGCCTCTGGAAAGAAGCTACTCGCTGTTGGGCTCTTCTCCACTAAGAGCTAGACACTCATCTGGAAGACCTGCCTACGGAAAGGAGCTACCCACTTCAGATCTTCTGAGACCTGTTCTGTTGCTCAATGCAACTCCTCTCCACCTTGCTCACCCCCTGTTGTCTGTGCACTTTATTCTTCTTGGATGTGAGACAAGAACTTGTGACCTGCTGAATGGCAGGACTAAAAGAGCTATAACACAAACATGGCTGAAACATGCCTCCCCTACTCACCACATTGTGGGCAATGAGAAGGAGAAAAGATCTGTGGTCCTTTGGGGAGCCCAGACCTAGAGGCTCCTGGAATCAGGGCTGTGACCCACAGCCCCCCACAGTGCTGGCACCTGTGCCAGCACATTGAGCTGCCTGCCCTGCTCCAGCAGCCAGTGTGCCAGGCTGTGTGCAGTGTCTGAACCCTGAATTCACTTGTCCACACACCCCTCATCATTCCCAAGCCTGGCTCAGTTTTGTTTCCATTTTTATGGAATATCTTTTTTCACCTCGTTGCTTTCGGTCTATATGTGTCTTTACTGCTAAAGTGAGTTTCTTTTAGGCAACATACAGTTGGATCATGTTTTTTCTTTTTCTATGCATTTAGCCAATCTAGAACTTAAAAGTGGAGCATTTAAACTATTTACATTCAAGATTATTATTGATATGGGAAGTTTTGCTTCTTTCATATTGTTAAATTTTTTAGTTGTTTTATAAATTCTTGGTTTCTTTTTCACTTAACGTTTCTCATTGTGGTTTGATGGAATTCTATAGTGGTGCCATTTGATTACTTTCTTTTCCTCCTTGGTGAAATTGTTTTACCAGTGAGATTTATAATTCCATTGTTTTTATAATTTTTCCTTTGCTTTCACGTTTAGGACACCTTGAAGCATTTCTTGCAGGACAGGTCTGGTGGTGATGAATTCCTTCAGCATTTGTTTGTTTGGGAAAGGCTTTATTTCTTCTTCATTTATGAAGTTTAATCTTGCTGGATATTTAATTCTTAGCTAAATATATTCTTACCTGGGTATATAATTCTTAGCTAAAAAGGATTTTTTGGCACTTCAAATATATGTATATATATTCACTTAGAATATATCCCATTCTTTTTTTGACCTATAAGGTTTCTGCTGAGAAGTCTGCTGTTAGTCTGATGGTATTTCTCTTATAGGTGACTGGACACATTTCTCTTGCTGATTTTATAACTTGCGCTTTGACTTTAGACAGTCTGATTATAATATGTCATAGCAAATCCTTTTGGCCTTGTATTTTCTTGGTGACTAATGAGCCTCCTGTATATGGATCTCTAATTCTCTCGATATTCTAGGGAATTTTTCATTTGTTATGTCATCAAATAGACTTTTTAAACCTTTAGTTCTCTTATTACCCATGGAGATAATCATAATTCATAAATGTAGTTGCTTTATCTTGTCTCAAACTTCTTGAAGTTTTGTTTGTTCACTTTTTAAAATTCTTTTTCTTTATTTTTGTTTGACTAAATTATTTCAAATAAACTGTCTTCCAATTGTGAAATTCTTCCTTCTGCAAGGCCTAGTTTATTATTGAGGCTTTCAAGTGTATTTTGGGCTCCCATCAGTAATTTCTTTGTAGTTACAGAATTTCAGTTTTTATTTAAGAACTAGCCCCTTGGTAAATTTCTTATTTACAATTTGAATTGATTTTTTTTGTTCTTTCTATTGGTATTCAGATTTCTTTTTCATCTTATTGAGCTTCTTTAAAATAAATATTTTAAATTTTTTATCTGAGATTTTGAGAATTTCATTTTGGCCAAAATCTATTGCTAGAGAATTATTGTGTTTCTTTAGGGTGTCACATGTCCTGCTTTTTTATGTTTGCTGTGTCTTTACATCGATTTCTGCACATGTAGTGTAACAGTCGCTTTTTCCTATTTTTGAGTTTACTTTTGTTCAAGGGGGACTATTTCTGAAGATGTGTCAATGGTATTGGCTGGGTAGGACCCTTTGGCTTTCCTTCTGAATGCATGTAGCAGTAAAGTCTCCATATTATTTCCTTGCTATAAACAGCATCAGTGGCATCTGTGGTTTCCTTGGCATGTTAGAGTGGAATTAATAGTGGAGGCTGTGGAAGAGTTGTGCTGGGGACTGCAATGCCAGATGAGCCTATCTTCAGGATTCAGCACTGGCATTGGAGAGCTAGGCATTTCTATTCTTGTAATCTGGGGCAGTGTACATGGGCACCTATGTTGGCATTTCCAGGCCAGCTGATTATTGGGCCTCTGGGTGGCTTTCCCAGATGCCAGTTATGGTAGTAGTATATCAGGTGTGTGAGTATTCTCTTGAGCCCCTGCGTTGCTAGTGTGGTAGGAGCAATGGCAGCACCAGTGGTAACATTCTCTTCTAGATCCCAAGCAATGTGTGCTTGTGTTGGTAGTGGTTGCAGTGGGCTGTGCAGGCTGGCCCCTAGACCAGCACATGTATGGCAGTTGCAGGTAGGAGACAGCTGAGGTGGAAGTGGTGGGATGTACAGGTCCAACCTCAGTGCCCCAGAAGGAGTTCTTGGTTGGTGGATTGGAATGTCCAGTCCCTCAGACAACAGACAACCCTGTATTGTCTTAAGAGTGGAAATGAAGCCAGGTAGAGCTGGACTGGGCAGGCTTAAGCTCAGGCCTCACAATGGGGAGCACATGCTGCAAAGTGATCCTTAGGCCTCTGGTTGATTGCTAGGGTTAAGGGCAGTAGCTGCTACACTAAGGTCCTGCCATGGGGAGGGTGCAGCCAGCTCCAGTGGCCACAGTCTTGGCTCATGAGTGGGGGACACATGTCCTTGTCATGCCTGTCTCAATGGAGCTCATTCCCCAGTCCAGGTTATTGCAGTGGACCCAGGGTATCTGTCATACCTAGAAGTCTGCACCATGCTCACAACTCAGCCCCAGGCCTTAAGAGTGCCCACCCAGTTCAAGATCAATAATTTATGGCAGCTTGATTCCCCCTCAATCTCCAGAGGAGAAACCCCTTTCCCACCACCAGCAGTAAAAGCCCAATCCACAGTCATTTCCAAGTTCTTGCTATAAGAGCCCACCCCCAACTTATATCCCAGGTGTGCAATCAATAGCATGAGTTTTGATAATGCCTAGGACTGATGATGCTGGTTCTCAAGACAGAACACAGTCTGTTTAAAGCTAGAATTAAAAATGGCATCTTGCTGTAGCTGCTTAGGTTTCAGAAAGGGTCTGGGAACCAACGTGAGTTTTTTCCCTGGAGCAGTTCTTTCTCATAGTCTCCCAGCTGCTCCCTAAGTTAGTTTCAAAGCTTGGGCGGGTAATGGAGCTCTCCTGTGGCCTTGATTGTTTGATTCCCCAGTAGGAAACTAGACCACAGAAAGATTCTCATGCACCTTTTTCCCATATTGGGGAGTCATTCCTGGTTCCCAGCTAGTCCTGGCCAAGTATGCTGCTTGTTTCTTTATCCTTTATAGTTTTGATATTTCCTATCACTTTTCTGTTGAACTACCATGCTCTCTCTTTGACAATAGATTCAAAGTGCAGTTATGTACACACTATTTTGGTTCTTGTAAGTAGATGAAGTATACACGAAGTGGTGTTAGCCAGCCATCTTCATGAATTGGAGACATAATATTCTTAAGGTGTCAACTCTTTCCAAATTGATTTCAACCATCTCTACACACGGTTCTGAGTTTGGTCTGTAACTCAATATTTTGAATATATGTGTCTTACACTCTTGTAAGTATTCCTAATGTACTCAAGATTGTTGAGAGAGATCTTACCTTAGTTATTCAAGATATAATCATCTAGAATCTTTGTTAGACACAGATGCAAATGGGAAACAGATCATGATTTAACTCTATGTCCCATATTTTAGTACTAGTGTCAGAGCTTTGTTTTAGTCAGTTCAGGCTGCTGTAACTACCACTATAGACTGAGTGTCTTAAATAACAGAAAATATTTCTCACAGTTCTAGAGGCTGAGAAGTTCAAGATCAAGATACCAGCAGATTCCGTTACTGTTGAGGGCTCTCTTTATAGTTCATAGATGGCCAACTTCTTGCTGTACCCTCATAGAGTAAAAAGAAAGATTATCTTTCTCCTATCTCTTTAAAATGGTGTTATCCTATTAATGAGTGCTTTGTCCTTATGACCTCATTACCTCCCAAAGGCCCCATCTTCAAATACCATCACAGGGGATAAAGGTTTCAACATATGAATTTCAAGGGACATCAGCACTTAGTTCATAGCAGGGCTCTCCTTAAAATATTCTCTCAGATGAAATTTGGATAGCAGAATTGTGACTTGGATATTATTGCTTAGTACAGAAAATAGAAGATCCATAGCAGGCATGATATAAAAGTTAGAAAGTGATACTTTAAACAGTGAAAGGAAATAGATTAATAACTGAACACTATTGGCCATCTACATAAAGAGAATAATAATAAGACTAATTTTTACCAGATCTGAGCTAATTGCCACAACCTGGATTCAAATTAATAAAGTTGTAACACAATTATTTTTATGATTAGAAATCTCCAGGATCTTTATTCCCTGTGGGATATGAGCTTTGGAGACATACTTAGTAATCTATTAAAACAGATTTTTTGAAAAATAGTTGGAACAGATGGTAGAATGAACCCAACAACTCAGCAGGGTTTATCGATTCTTAAAATTTTACAGCAGTGCTCATTGTTGCAGATTTATGTGTTATTTTCCTAGATTTTTGAAAAGATATCTTTAAAAAATATTTTCAAAATAAATCATTCCACAATTATAACAATAACAATCAATAAAACAGGTAACCCTCTCTTAATAAATATAGGGCCATTAATAAAAGCTCTAGTATCTTATAGGTTTGAAAAGAAATCTTTACATACAGGTACTGTCATATTATATTTATAACCCTTTTTTTAAAAAAAAGGGAAATTTACAAGGTATACACAGAGAAAGTACATACAATTTGCAAAGTATACAGCAGAGAATTCCAATACACCTCACACTGAGTTTTTCCTATTATTAACATCTTCGGTTATTAGTGTGATAAATTTACCATGAATCAACATTGATACATTATTATTAACTAAAGCCTATATTTCATGTAGATTTCCTTAGGTTTTAGCTAATGTCTTTTTTTGTTCCCATAATCCCATCCAGGACATAACAATACATTTCATTGTCATCTCTGTGTAGGGTCTTCTACTATGACATTTCTCAGTTTTTTTGATGACTTTAATAGTTTTAAGAAATACTCGGAAGGTATTTTACAGAATGCCTTTAAATTTGGGTTTGCTTAGATTTTTCCCCTCAATGTTAGATAATAATTATCATTTTAGGGGAAGGAAAATCAGAGAGGTAAAGTGCCATTCTCATCACATCACATCAAAGAAACATACTATCAATATCACTTATTACAACTGAGATTAACCTTCATCTGGATGGCACTGTGCCTGTCATGTTTTTCCACTGTAAAGTTACTATCATTTTCTCCATTTACATACTTAATTTTTTGGAAGGAAATCACTTTATGCAGCCCACACTTGAAGAAAAGAAAGTTAAGTTTCACATCTGTGAATAGAGAGTACCTATATAAATTTTTGGAATTATTTTACACGGATTTGCCTATGTCCTCTTATTCTATTTATTTATTTAGTCATTTATTTGTATTAATATGGACTCATATGCTTTATTAGTCTGTTTTCATGCTAATAAGAAAGACATACCTGAGACTGGGAAATTTACAAAGAGAAGTTTAATGGATTTACAGTTCCACATGGCTGGGGAGTCCTCACAATCATGGTGGAAGACAAGAAGGAGCAAGTCACATCTTACATGGATGGCAGAAGGTAAAGAGAGCTTGTGCAGGGAAACTCCCATTTTTAAAACCATCAGATTTCATGAGACTTATTCACTATCACGAGGACAGCATAGGAAAGACTTGCCCCCATGATTCAATTATCTCCTACTGGGTCCCTCCCACAACACGTGGGAATCATGGGAGTTACAAGATGAGATTTGGGTGGGGACACAGAGCCAAGCCACATCATGTGCATTTATTCTATATTTTACATTATAATACAACTATATGAGTTATTTTATTGCTCATATTCTTCCAGCTTTGGACACTGAAAGTTCTTTCAGGTGGATCCTATATCTCTTTAAAATGTCTCCACCATTGTGTCCATCCTTACTTCCTGGCATGGCAAGATGCTCCATGTTCTTTGATTTCTCATACCTCAGCACTAGAATCAGCTACTTATTCATGGAACCTTGGTTATTTTTACTGGAGAATAATATTGGAAATCAAGTTCTGGGAAGTAATAGGTTCTTTTTATTTTAATGAAAAAAAAAAGACTCAGTAGATTAAGATATTTAAAAAGCCCATATTACAGAAAATGTATTCAATGAAAAGTAAATATTTCTCCCATATCCACATCCTTTTCCTTTTTTAAAATGCAGCATCATTTCAGGTGTACCTTGATATTTTGTAGACAAATATGCATCTCTCTAATCATTTTCTTGTCTATTATTTCTAGTTATCTACATGGAAGGAGAGGTGGCACACTTCAGTGATCCTTGTTTCTTTTCACATAAGTTCACATAAATATAGTATTTATGTAAGTATATAGATGGCATGGGATATGCAGTCCATTGTTAAGATATGCTCTATTTTTTTAAATGAAATTCTACAAATTACCTTTAGTTTATTTCCTTCCTATTGATATTTTGCAAGCATAACTATGATCACTATTTCATAGATTCATTAATATGATTTTAATGGAAAGCATATATGGATGGTGCTAGGGTTATATTTGGGAGCTTAATCAAAATTAGCTGAGCAGAACAACATAAGGCTTTTGAATAATACCAGGAGAAGGGTCTTGACAAAGCTTTCTCCTTGATCAAAAAGCTCTAATTGTGATATGGTTTAAACCATGTAACCCATGTTTCTTGTCCCTCCTTCAAGTCTTCTACAAACATGTAAATTATCACAGTGTGAAATCTCCTTCCTGAAATTCTTCCACAATTTTTCAGTTATGTCCAGCCCCAACTGATCTTTTTGTAGAATACTTAGAGCTTCAAGATCATATGTGTTCAGGTGCTCTTTTTGCCTCTGAGTTTCTCCAGTAAGTGCTACTTTACATTAATACTGCATGGCAATAGTGGCTCATGACTATGTACCTCTGAGCAATATATTTTGGATCCTAATAGTGGCTTATGCATATTACCTGTCTGAGCTAAGCTAGAAGCTACAATGTTTATAACGATGGTGAAGAAAGTACTGAACTCGAGATTAAGTCAGGAATGGATTGGGTTACTTCCACTTGGCAGAAACATGTATAATGAAATAGAGTAATGTGAAAATGCAGAAATAATTTTTCTTTCACAGTCAGAGGCAAAAGAAAACAGAGACATTGACTAATTTTGAAACTCAATTTTCCATTCTTTCCTCCAAGAGGAGGCTAAGTACTGAATCCTAAGCCAAGTACTGCACCTTACAAGATTGTAATTATGGTTATAATACTGGTCATTATTATCATTATCATCTGTACAGGTTATGCTTGCTTTTCTTTGGAGGCCCCATATATTTTGTATGGATATTTTGTAGAAGCAAGCATGTGAATATAGTATTTGAGCACATCCACTATGACACTTGCTAGTGTTTTCTAGAATGGTAACTCAAATGCATAGTGATACAGTTTGGCAGTGTCCCCACCCAAATCTAATCTTGAATTCTCATGTATTGTGGGAGGGACCCTATGGGAGGTAACTGAATCATGGGGGCACGTCTTTCCTGTGCTGTTCTCATGATAGTGAATAAGTCTCATGAGGTCTGACGATATCAAAAGGGGGAGTTTCCCTGCCCAATCTCTCTTTGCTGGCTGCCATCCATGTAAGACGTGACTTACTCCTTCTTTTCTTCCACCACAATTATGAGGATTTCCCAGCCATATGGACCTGTAAGTCCAATTAAACCTTTTTATTTTGTAAATTGCCCAGTCTTATGTATGTCTTTATCAGCAGCATGAAAACGAACTAATATACATGGCCAAGAACTTTCATACTTCTTACGGCTGCCAAAGTCATATAATGAACTAATTCAGGAGAAAAATAAATAGTATTCTCTTACAAGATTTATACAAGTTGAACACTATACATCATTTTCTGGAAGCTACTGCTACTTGGCACAGCACTGTAAACTATCAAAGCTTTAACAAGAACATGACCACTGTTGAATCTACAGTAAATGAATATTTTGCAGCCTCTGTTAGCATTTAAATACAGCCTTTGCTTTTGCTAATGCCTTCTTTTCTATGCTCATCTAAAAGACAAATATCAGCATATCTTCTCAGGAAAGGGGTGCAATACGCATTTGACATGCTTTCACAGGTATATTTTAATGATCTTAAAGTATGTCATCAATGGGTTTGAAAAATATTTACACATTGTGAACTGTTGGTATCCAAATGTTTCATTTGTAAAATGTTTACATTGTCTACCTTCAGCAGAAAAGGAACCAACATCGTATTTATGCTTACCGAGTCTTATCTATTCAAACGTGAGACACAACCCAAGGTTATACAATTTGGGCATAAAACTTTAACCCCTACTGAGAAATAAACCAATTGACTTGGCAGGTATTGACTCTAAAGAAGTTGGTTTCTTTGAATGTATCAGATAAACATTTTATACCTGGATAATTTACTAAATTCATATACCAAGTAACCAAACAGCATCTAAGATTGAATGAAGAGTCCCTGAATATAAATTAAAAAGTCAAGAAACACCAGATGCTGGTGAGGTAGCAGAGAAATAGGAATGCTTTTATACTGTTGGTGTTAATGTAAATTAGTTCAACCATTGTGGAAGACAGTGTAGTGATTCCTCAAAGATTTAGAACCAGAAATACCATTTGACCCAGCAATCCCATTACTGGGTACATACCCAAAGGAATAAAAATTATTCTATTATAAAGATATATGCACACACATGTTCATTGCAGCACTATTCACAATAGCAAAGAAATGCAATCAACCCAAATGCCCATCAATGATAGACTGAATAAAGAAAATGTGGTACATATACACCATGGAATACTATGCAGCCACAAAAAGAATGAGATCATATTCTTTGCAGCGACATGAAAGAAGCTGGAAGGCATTATCCTTAGCAAACTAACACAAGAACAGAAAACCAAACACCTCATGTCCTCACTTGTATGTGGGATCTGGACAATGAGAACACAAGGACACAGGGAGGGAAACAACCACACACTGGGGCCTGTCAGGGTAGGGAAGGGAGGTGGGAGAGCATCAGAAAAAACAGCTATTGTATGCAGGGCTTAATACTTAGGTGATGGATTGATACGTGCAGCAAACTGCCATGGCACACGTTTACCTATGTAACAAACCTGTACATCCTGCACATGTACCCTGGAACTTAAAAGAAAATAAAATTAAAAACAAAACAAATAAAACTGCTAGAAAGTGTCCTACTTCCAATAAAAAAGACAGGCTTTAGATCCCCTCTATGCCTTAGATTTCATGGAATTATATTGGTGTCTATGACTAATTTCACAGTTGACAGAAACCTTTATCTACAATATCATTTTTGTCTTCTTTTTTGTTTCCACAAACCTCCAAGCTTTTTAATTTAAGGACTTTCTCTCAACATCAACAAAAAAATAAAATCCCTCTGGTAAGCTCTTCCTGAGACAAAGCATCTCATCTAAAGAAAAGATATGACCTCCTAATTTTTCATAAACCTTTTACAATGGGTGTCCAAAGTTCTTAAGTGGGACCAACTTCAGAAATTTCCATTGCAGAATGAAATTTGCACATTAATCAGAGGCAAAAGCTTGCCTCTAAGTATAATCCAATGTTCTGATATTTGGCTGCGTACTTGCCAGTACATAGCCACAGAGATTACACTCCCTACGTGCATGTCACTGCCTAGAAAAGGGCATCACTCACAAGGTCTTCCAGTAGTCAAGTAGTCACGCATTAATAATTAATACCCCAAGATTATTTTAACTGTATATTAGGCAGTTTATTCAAAGTTGACAAACCCGAGTCTTAGAACTATCCGTGATGGTAATGGGAAAATGCTGAGAGCCAGGGCATTGAATATTTTCACAATAAACTGAATTTAAGGCAGTACTCTTGATATAAAACTACTGAGGCAGTCCACGTCAAATGACTGACAAATGCCTGGACATCCAGGCCTAATGAGATCTAACTCAGAAGGAATATTCTGACTCCAAAATTTTGAGACCACTGAATTAGTTGTTCTTTGGTCTGCATTGCAGACCCACCTCACCCTCTGCTCAGTCCTGCTCCTACTCTTACTTTCAACAGATTTGAGTTGGAAGGATATTACCTAATAAAGGGCTTGAATCTTAAACTCCACCTCGGAGAGTATGTTTCTTGAGAACCCAACCTGTAACACCTGACATCACTATTTAAAAACATTAATGTAAAGTCTTTATAAAATCTGAGTGTTTCAGTAGGTGAAAGCTCAGGCACAACTACTCCAGAACATGTGATGCTGAAGTCAGATGTTTGCACCTCTGTGTAGAGTAAATGTGAACGTTACAGCTATAAATACAGACTTGATGCGGCTGTCTACTTTTACTTTCTGTTATTTTTTTGAAATGGTAAAAAAAGAAAAAAAACTAACAAGTAGAGATACAACAAATACAGCCTTCCTACACTTTCATGTGATTTATATTCCTAAATTGTTTACTTTCTATTAAAACTGTGCAAAAATATTTAATATCCTCAAGAATATGGAGTAGTGTTTTAGGCTCAAAACTCTTTTGGATAAATGTCTAGCAGGAAATTCAAATGTTTTTTTGCAGAATATCAGAAAAATCATTTTGTGGAACTTTTCTGAACATTGTAGAACATTTAGCATCCCAGTAAGCACAAGTAGATCTCCAGTCATCACTGCCACAACAGTATCCCGTTTCTAAAACTTCTCCTAGGGATCAGTACATTGGGAAGCAATGGTGAAAGAAATTTTACACCCCTGAAAAACATTGACAAAGATGGGAAATTAATTGAAGTATGGAGCAAATGAGCATATTATCAGACTTATTTTTAATAGTCCTGCTAGCCCATTGTAATAAGAATTGTCTAAAGGCAGGTGGGTGAAAACATAATATGTACCCATTTATTGTTTATGCTTCATTTTAAAATATATTTATAGTGGCATAATTGTCAAATGATAAACCTCATATATTAAAATTGTATAATTTGATAAGTTTTAACATATATATGTCTGTAAAATCATAACCATAATTGATACATAAACATGTCTATCATCCGTGAAGGTTTACACATTTCCCTTCATAATCTCCCCATAATAACCCTCCTTATTCCCTGCTTTCCCATCACCAGACAACTACTGCACTGTCTTCTATCAATATAAGTTAGTTTGCACTTTCTAGAAATTTATATAAATGAAGCCACCTAGTATGTATCCTTTTTGTCTGGTTTACTAATAATAATTGAAAATTGGCAAAATAATTGAACAGATACTTGACCAGAAGACATAAACATAGCAAAAAGCAAATAAGATGCTCAATCTTTTTCATCAGCAGATAAATACAAATGAAAACATGAAAAGATACACGACACAAATACGTAAGTGGTTAAAATGATATTAAAAAATAAAACCATCTCGAGTTAGAAAAGATGCAAAGTACCTGAAACAGTCAAACAATGCTTGGAGGGATGTAAAATGATACAGGTACATTGGAAAATAGTTTGGTAGTCCCATAAAATTAAACATAAAATCACCAAACAAACAGAAACACTTTACTCACCAGATTTTAGCCAAGTAAACACTTTAGTTTATAGAAAATCCTATACAGAAAGGTTTATAGTGTCATTATTTTTAGCTGTTCTCAAATTGAAATTAACCCAAAGTTCTTTCAACTGGTAAACAGAGGAATAAATTTGGGATATCCACAAAATTGAATATTACTCAGTGGTTAAAAAAAAACTACTCAATATACACAACAATCTGCACAAATCTCAAACGAGTTACTGCCTGAAATATAACAGACTCAGATTACCGGGTCTAAGGATATGATTAGATTTCCGTATATGATATCATTTATATGACATTCTGGACAGGACAAAACTACAGGAACTAGAAACGGATTGCTGGTTGACAGGAGCTGGCAGTGTGAGGAAGGGTTATACAAAGCATTAAAGGAAAATAGGGATGGGAGTAGATGAGATTGATGGAGTTGTTTTACATCTTGATTATAGTGGCAGTTAACATGATTATACATTTATTGAAACTCAGAGAAATGCATAGTCAAAAAGGAAAATTGTATTGCATAACTCTTCTTTAATACAAAAAGTGGAATAAAGAGATATGCAATTATATGTTAGATTTTGTATAAAGTTCAAATTTATTTGTCATAGCCTCCCTTTCTTTCCTTCCTTCCTTCGAGACCAATGAATTAGTTGTTCTTTCCTTCCTTCCGTCTTTCTTTCCTTCCTTCCTTCCTTCTTTCCACTCTTTCTCTCTCTCTATGTATATATGTGCATATATCATTTGCATATACACACATATATATATGTATATACAGAGTAGATTGGCTTACTCTTGGCTTACTACGTATAGAGAGGATTAGTTTACTCTTATGCTTTTTATATTTATTTCAATTTTCTAACTTTATAATATGCCAACATAATTATCTTTAAAATTATTAATTATTCTAAATTCACATATTCATTCTTATAGCCTCTACACTTTTATTTTTATTAAAATATTTTAATAATCTATGTTTCATACCTTTAAATGTCATTTAAAATCTAATAACCTTGGTAAATAGAACAAATGGTGGATTTTGCTTTTCAGGAATAACAAAAGAAAATAAAACCCCCCATAATTATGAATTACTTAAATCACATATATGACAGAGAATATTTTCACTATATATATTCTATAAGTTATTACAGTAATCAAGTGCATTTATATGTGTTTTAGGTAGTTTTATCTGTCTAAGACATCATAAACAACACTAAAAATAATTACATTAAACATACAGTATTTTAACAAAAAAGTGGTCTCCATATGATTCTGAAACAATAGTGCTGTTTGTATGAGTATTTATTTTTCAATTGAGATCTTTTAAAAGCAGCCTAATTAACACAGCATATTGTTTTATAGAATATTGTTGGAAGAATATCAAATACCATAAAGAAAACATAGAAACTTGGAAGAGAGTTTTAATGCGTATGAGGTAAAAAGCAAGGAGAACATTGTTGGTTTAGCTTCTGCTAGTGCTAGGTTTTCTCTCTCTTTATAGCTCCAGGATGTACACTTTTAAGAAGTTTTATATACTTTATGTTTTCAGTCTCCACTTCTATAAACTGTCTTATTCTTAGCACGCTAGACTCATGATCCTGGGTATTGTAAAATACGATTGTTAAAATATTGATTTCCCAAATGGGCAAAACAAGTGGCACTACATAAATATTTTATGCTCTCTGTTGTCCTCTATCATTACCTCCTCTTTGTAAGCAAACACCTAAGGGATAGAATATAACTTCCCTCACCGTTCTGTTTACCATGGTTAGAAGAACCCATGATATAATACTGTAGCTCTGTCTAATTTCAAGAGGTCTAAAATAATGATTATTTTTAAAATTTTTTTTCGTTGATACTATAAACCAATTACTATTTCTGTATAAAATAGCAAATTTGGTAATAATATAAAATTGCTGACAAAATTTGAACTCAAAAATACCTTGTTGTTAAGTAACTGAAGGTGAAAGGGACAGAAAATTGATGCCATCTAAAAGCAGCAAACATCCAGAATGGCTTGTGGGATTTAATTTAAACATGATATGTGTAAATTTAATGAGGTAGGGGATGTATTACAGGACAGAAATTTGACTTTCTT
This sequence comes from Homo sapiens, assembly GCF_000001405.40. Lineage (NCBI taxonomy): Eukaryota > Metazoa > Chordata > Mammalia > Primates > Hominidae > Homo > Homo sapiens. Next base: position 136,960,957 of record NC_000004.12, read on the forward strand.
CTTCCCATCTAATCCAATTTTTTATGCTCCAAAACTTACTGAGGACTCACAAAATCTTTTGTTTGTGTGTGCTGTGTCTATCAATATCTACCATATTGATATTGAAAAGAAATTTTTAAAATATCTAGTAATAAATTAATTAGGGAATAATAATAAATGTACTAGGTACTATGAATAATGATCATAGTAAAATCAGTATACTTTTATTAAAAACATCTGCATTTTTCAAAATAAAATATTCAGTGAGAAGGGAGGGACCGTTTTATACATTTGCAAATATCTGTGAAGTCATGTAGATTCTAATATTTGTTTCTTCATCCAATATTTTGTTTTAGTTGGAGTATTTGGATAAAATCTGTCCAATTATTAATGTAGTTTAAAAAGTTAGAATGACCTTTTTAAGTAATTGTGAATATTATTCTTTGGTTTTCACCAAAATTTAACAAGTGATAATTTCTTAAAGATTAGTTGCAATATGGGATCAGAAACCCTCTCAGTGAACTTTGGTACTCTTTGGTACTCTTTCACATTACATTGCATTAAACTTTCTTGGCTTGTTTGGAACTTCAAATGAATTATTTACCAATGCATATTTTCATAATATCATGCATTATTTTAAAAATATTAGTTCACTAAGTTATGTAAATCTTTCAAATTTTAACACAGTACAAGATATGAAAAGTTCACATTTATTAATCTCATTACCTATCTCATTAAAAAAGTTTCAAGTATGTGAAATTGCCAAGCACACAGTAGAAAATATAAGATTTCCAAAATTTTAATTGTTGCTCAAGAGCTCACGTTGTATTAATGGTAATGAAGACTGCCATTTGCTTTTCTTGAGGAGTCAGTCTCTCACTTGTTCATGTTCCCAAAACTATCTGACAAATATCAAAGTCTAAATAATCATGTTATTTTTCTTTCACTTATCAAGTAAAAGTTACATTCCATAAAAACAATGGCTGGTTCACCCAGCCACTCAAAATAGTCCACAAATTATTTTCTCTGGGCCAATCATCATAATATGTACTCAGCATTAAGTTACTTTAGGCATGCTCCCTATTTCTTCACACAGAATATTAAACATGCATAAATCAGTGGTAGATACCTTTAAAAATAACAATTTTAAATTTATCATTTAAGGCATTTATTTGAACTAGAATTGAACTAGAATTTTTAATTTTATTCTAAGTGTAAGGCAGTGAAGAATGCATTGACTACACGTACAGTTGGTGTCTCCACTTTGATTCATGCTGATGTAACTGCAGTTTTAACTATTTTGGCTCAATAGTACTCCATTTTGTATAAGCATCACATTTTTTAATCCATTCATCTGCTGATGGACACTTAGATTGCTTCCAAATCTTATCTATTGTGTACAGTGCTGAAACAACTTGGGATTGCAGATATTATTTGATACAGTGTTTTTCTTTCTTTGGGACATATACCTAGCAGAGGAATTGTTGGATCATACAGTAGCTTTATTTTTAGTATTTGAGGAACTTCTACATAGTTTTCCATAGTGGTTATAATAAGTTACATTCCTACCAACAGTGTACAAGGGTTTCCTTTGCTTTACATTCTTGCCAGCATTTGTTATTGCCTGTCTTTTGGATAAAAGTCATTTTAACTGGGGTGAGGTGATGCCTCATTGTAGCTTTAGTTGGATTTTTCTGACAATCAGTGATGTTGAATATTTTTCAGATATTTCTTTGCCATTTGTACGGTTTTATTTATTTTGAGAAAAGTCTATTCAAAAACTTTTGCCTATTTTAAAAACGGAATTATTAGATTTTTATCTATAGAGTTTTTTGAGCTCCTTATACAATCTGGTTATTAATCCGTTGTCAGTGAGTAGGTTGCAAAGATTTTCTGCTGTTCTGTGGTTTGTCTCTTCACTTTGTTGATTGTTTCGTTTGCTTTGTAGAAAGTTTGTAACTTGATGTAATACCATTTGTCCATTTTCTGGGGGGTTGGAACAGCTAAAATATTAAGATAAACTTCTTGGTTCTAAGAGCTCTTATCTCTAATTATGTAATATATCATCACTATTTTTTGAAGTAAGAAATATTACTCTATAATTAAAATTATTCAATTACTAGAATGACTCAGCTAAAATGATATGATGAAGAACTGTAGCTGGCTTCCAATTACAATGGACTATGGACTAAAAAAGACACATAAAGCCTATATCTGTAAACAAACAAAAAAAACAACCAAAGGACTAGACAAAACTATTTTCTGATGTTACCCAAATGCCAGATTAAGACTCTGGTCCCGGAGAGAAAGGAAACAAGCAAATTGATCTCTACCATCGCCTCAGTTTTCTTCCAGGAAACATATTCCAGAACACTCATCAAGAAAGGAGATTCTCAAGAGAATGTTAGTTACTCTGACTTACAGACAAAATGATGCACTTTAGTTATAGAAGTTGCTCCAGAGAGAAGGAGGGAAGCTATATAGGAAAAGAGTTTTAAAAATAATATAATTATTTAGACTTTGGTATTTGACAGATATTTTTGAGAAATTAATTAATTAGATTGACACTTCAAGAAAAATAAATGGCAATATTCATTACCAGTAATAAAATGTGAGCTTTTTTTTTTTTTTTTAGATGGAGTCTTGCTCTGTCACCAGGCTGGAGTGCAGTGGTGTGATCTGGGCTCACTGCAATCTCTGCCTCCTGGGTTCAAACTATTCTCCTTCCTCAGCCTCCTGAGTAGCTGGGACTACAGTTGAGCACCACCATGCCAGGCTAATTTTTGTATTTTTAGTAGAGACGGGGTTTCACCATGTTGGCCAGGATGGTCTTGATCTCTTGACCTCGTGATCCTCCCACCTTGGCCTCCCAAAGTGCTGGGATTACAGGTGTGAGCCACCACACCCGGCCAAATGTGAGCTTTTCAGTAAACATTAGAATTGTGGAAACCTTATGTCTTCTATTGTGATCTTGGCAAATTCAAATAAACCATGTGCTTATGGCCAATTGCTTTACAACCAAAGTGCCCACATGCAATCAATAATAATGATAATAGCAATAAAATTCTCCACACCATATACAAAAATTAAATAAAAACAAATCACAAGACTTAAATGAAAAACCTAAAACTATTTACATAAAAGAATTAGGAGAAGGGCCTCATGATCTTGGGTTAGATAAGGATTTCTTAGATTCTTCCTAAAAACTATGATCAACAATTTTAATAGACATTTTACTACAGAAGATATATAAAAGATTAGGACATACATTTAAAGATGTTCAATGTCATTAATCATTAGAGAAATGCACATGAAAAGCATAATAAGATACCATTACACACCCACTAGAATGGTTATGGAAGAAGGAGACAGAAAATACCAAGTGTTGGGGGAAATGTACACAAATGGGAGCCCTCATGCATTGCTAGTGGGAATACAAAATGGTAAAGTTACTTTGGAAAACAGTTGGGCACTTGAAAATTTTGACATAAATTTATCATACAGCACAACAATTCCACTCAGAAATCTACCAAAATAAGTGAACACACAAGTCCATTCAAAGACACATATGTGAACATTCACAGCAGCATGGTTCATAATAGCCAATACCTAAAAAGAATACAAATGTCCATTAACTGGTGAATGATTAAAAATATGCAGTATAGGAACAAATTGTAATAGTATGCAATAAAACTTAACAAACTACTGATACATGCTGCATCGTGTATAAATCTAAAAACATTGTCTAGTGAAAGAAGTCACATATCGCATGATTCTATGTATATGAAATGTCCAGAGAAGGCACATTTATTGAGACAGAAAGCAGATCAATGCTTAGGGTGAGAAGGGGGATTGACTGCAAAGGAACAAGTTGGAAATTTTTGGAGTGACATGAATGTTCTAAAACTGAATTGTGCAGATTTGCACAATTGTATACATTTAGTAAAATTCACTTAATTGTACATTTACAATGGGTAATTTTGGTACCAATGCTGTCCCTCAAAATCTGTAAATAAGACTGGCATTTCTCAAGATGAAAATATCTTGACACTAAAACTTTTCAGAATCTGTATGACTCAGTAGAGTCATATTCAAATAGGTGTTTTATAACATTTCCCAATACTTACATAATTAACAATCTTTCCCAAACTTGCTGGGATATTTCCCAATTAAAAAAATGGAAATAATTAAATGTAAGTGAGAGCAGTGTTTTGGCCAAGGTTGTATGTGTTACGTAGGACCTAAACCTGACATCAAGTTAACTGGCTTAGTTACTTTAAATTTTACTTAAGCTAACAACTTTCTCAAAAGCAATAAAGAAAGTAATATTTCAGTACAATTCCTCTTCTCTACTTTTTAATTTTCTTTGCTATTCTGTTTCTGTGCCAACCTTTGTTTTCAATACAGTTAAAGTGACATTATTTCTAATCTTTCAGCGGGACTTTATAGGTCTATATTAAGAACACATGTCCCTCCTTCATTTCATTTCCTCCTATGCTCTCTTTTACGGTGTTTGTTAATAAATTTTGTCTTTACAAAAATCATACAATTTTTAAAACCTGAGTAAAAGATTAAAAGGGGAAAAAAAATCACCCTTGATTTAATCACTCACTAAGCTTTCTCACATGAAATTTAAGCACCACTGATACTGACAGTTTCCTGGTTTTGCCAGAAGATTCTAAGGGAGATTTTTTCACACGTCTATGTCATGACTTCAACCAGCTGGCGGTGATTGTAAAATTCAGCTGACTGTAAAATGCATCTAGATTTCTCAGAAGTGAACAGGTTGAAAACATGCATATTGATAGTGTTTGGCTGTGTCCCCACCCAAATCTTATCTTGAATTTAACTCCCACGTGTCATGGGAGGAACTTGGTGAGAGGTGATTGAATTATGGGGGCAGGTCTTTCTTGAGCTGTTTGTGTAACTACATATTTGAAATATGTGTTAATTTTCATGTTCCGATTTTTATACATGCTTGAAATTACTAAAAATCATATATATATATATATATATGTTTTTTATAAGAAATTTAAAGTGTTCTACTACCAGTAAAAAGCCAGGCTTTGGATTCTCTATATGCCTTAGATTTCATGGAATTATATTGGTGTTTATGACTAATTTCACAGTTGACAGAAACCATTAGCTACAATATCACTTTTGTCATTTGTTGTGCTTCCACAAACCTCTGGGTTTTTAAATTTAATGACTTTCTCTCAACATAAAAAATAAAATCCCTCTGCTAAGCTGTTCCTGACACAAAGCATCTCACCAAAATAAATGATATGACTCCCTAACCTTTCATAAATTTTTACAATGGGTGTCCAAAGTTCTGAAGTTGGGACAAACTTCAGAAATTTCCATTGTGAAATGAAATTTGCACATTCAATCAGAGGCAAAAGCTTGCCTCTAAATCTAATTCAGTTGGCAAATCACTTGAGCCCAGGAATTCGAGACAAGCCTGAATAACATGGTAAAATGCGATCACTACAAAAACACTAAAAGCAGCCAGTCATCATGGTGGCACCTGTGGTCCCAGCTACTCAGGAGGCTGCGGTGGGAGGAGTTTAGCATCATTGTAGTCCAGTGTGGGTGACAGAGTGAGACTTTGTTTCAATAAATAAATAAATAAAAATAAAGTATTTGCCAAAAGACCTTCTGCTCATTCTTTTTGGGGAAAAAAAAAACATGAGTAGATTTATCATTTATTCAGTGTTAGTAATTACAAATTATTTCTGTCCCTATAACATTTATAAAATAAGAGAAAACAACTCCATTTATCACTAGGACAATTAGATAGATATTCACAGTTTATAAATTTTGATTTCAAATTGTAAACATTTATTCTTCACAAATAGCATTTTTTAAAATGTAAAACTGGCAATATATTATGAATTAGTTTTTAAAAAAAGCGGACTCTCTTCTGAGGTGGCTTCCATTGGAGCTACTGTTAAGGCATGCATTGGTGGATGGAAATATTTGACACTCTTAAACCTCTGAATCCTGAGTTAAATAAATCTCATAAGAAATCATAATATTATTTATGCATCATGCTTTTAATAATTTATTTACACTATAATATGCTCCAGAAGATTTAAGGAGAAAAAAGATTAAAAGATGTGTAAATAATACACACCTAATTTACAGTCTTGGCAATAGCTTGGCTGAAAAAAAGTATAGAATATATGACATAAGATTATTTTTGGAATTGAATACTTGAAAATATTAATCACTGTTGCTGCCTCTGTGTGTGTGTGTGTGTGTGTGTATCTGTGTGGTGTGTACATACCTGTCTACGCAACTGCAGCTACACTTCAATCAGGGATTGACAATACTTTCTTGACTACAGTCTGGTAATGTTTGACTCATATGGGCGTTTATCTCTCGAGGCCTTTACGCACTCCTCCTTGAAATACCTTAGATAATAAAAATGATTACATATTAAATAAATATTTGTGGTATTCAATTGAATTCAATTTGAATCTAGGAATAAAAGGAAAAAACTGTCATAATTTAGTACATTTAGTTTCAGGCAAAAAATGCAGCAAGCTAACATTTCACGCATTTGTCTTTGTAGAATTAAAAAATACAAATAAGTGATTCTGATTTCTCAAATGATCACTTCTAAGTCCTTGGTACTTAAAGTAATAATAAAACTTTAAAATGCCTTATCAGTAATGTTTCCATAATCTTAAATTTTATTGAGAGTCTTGTGGTTGAAGAAGAAATTTCTCAAGCTGTTATTTTAAATTTATAAATCTTATTTAGCCACATGCTGTGATAAATTTTTATCCTTTTTTTTTTTTTTTTTGGTGGCAGTCTTGCTCAGTCACCAAGGCTGGAGTGCAGTGGTACAATCATAGCTCACTGTAACCTTGAACTTCTGGCCTCAAGAAATATACCTGTCTTAGCATCACAAAGTGCTGGGATTATAGGTGTGAGCCACTGTACCCAGCCAGATTCATTGTAAACAAGAAATATATTGTGAAGGACAGAACGAAGTATTTTGATGTATTTTATTAGATATGCCTCATAGAATTATACTTATTAATATTAATATTTATTTTATTAAATTGTAAGAAAATTTGCACATGATTAAATTACATAAATTTAATTGTACAGAAATGACTAGAAAGAATACAGAAGCCTATATTTTTTTTTTCAGAGACAGGGTCTCAATATGTCACCCAGGCTGGAGTGCAGTGGTGCCATCATGACTTGCTGCAGGCTCAGCTTCCTGAGTTCAAGCAATGCACCTGTCTCAGCCTCCAGAGTAGCTGGGAATACAGGCACTTGCTACCATGCCCAGCTAATTTTTTGTATTTTTAGTAGAGACGGGTTTTCACTATTTTGTCCAGTCTGGTCTTGAACTCCTGCGTTCAAGTGATCGCCCCCTCAGCCTCCCAAAGTGCTGGGATTACAGGAATAAGCTGCCATGCCCAGCCTGAAGGCATTTTCTTTTTTTTAACATTTCAAATAGCCACTTTTTTCCAAAGACTTCAAATGTTAGTAATGTTAAATGGCAGTTTTATGCATGCACTGGGAGAATAGTAAAGCTGCCATGTGTAATTGATTCAAGATTCTGGCTGATTATACTTTGCTACTTTTAATCAGATATCTAATGAGTGTGATTACTGGAAAATATTCTCTATAGAATGTTTGAAAAATTCTTCATTGCAATGAGTCTGTTATTTATGGTATATAACTTCATGACGGGAAAAAGTGTAATAAACCAATGTTTTCATTAACAGTGCACTAACATAAAAATCCTTCACATTACATAGCTTATCTAATTTTTATCAATTTGATCTAAAAAAATACTTTTCCTAAAATTCATCATTTGTGCAGTAAACATAGCAGACATGTATGTAGTTTGCTTGGATGGAATTAGCTTCAGATGTCTCTGAATGCTGGCAAGAAGCTAGCAGCTACAGGGAGCACTCTCTATATCTACAGTTCCAAGACATTCTTTGTGGGCACAAGAAGCTGCTACTGCCCTCGCTCTGTGCAGATAAGAGATGGGAAAGAGTTTCTGTCCTGTTACTCTGAATGACATTTTTATTAGTACCCTCTGGTGACTAACACAAGACCAAACTCCACACTCTTCATCTATAGACTCTGACTTTCAAGTTTCTTCAGAAAAATGCACTACAAAAACTTGTGTTCGTCAAGCCAAGTTTGTTGGAGTTCTACTTAGAGAAATTATAAAAAATTGAGTGCACTGTTTCTTGTTACCTAGGACTATAAATTACTTATTTTCAATTTAAAATTCTGTGTGTGTCTGTGTGCTATAAAATTTGGCAGGAAATGTGGGCTGAGCCTACCCTCTTTATTCATTTTCTCACTGCCCCTGCCATTGATAGATATGTGGATGATAATCACAGCTACTTCCAGGATGATAGTTGCCAGCAATATTTATCAACAGCTACTAGCATATCATCAACAGAAGGAATTTCCTCAAGTGACCAATCAGTTGATGATGACACTCCAATTATTTCTCTAGTATATAATCAAATTTTACTATTAATAAAATAAATTGCTTAAAATTTCTCCACAAATACTGAATATCAACTTCTGGGCCTCAATAACAAAAAGATCTACTATTGAGTTTCAGACAAGTATTACTAAGAAATCCTTAGATGAGAGTGATAGTTGGTACCAGAAAAGGAAAGAAGAGCCTCCTACAGTAAGTAGGGCTTGAGTTTGATAAATCTGCAGCAGTTGGTGCTGTGAGATATTTTTAAGACTAAATAAGAGAGGTACTTTCATAAACTGTGCCTTTATCAGTAAGATCTAATCTTGACTACAATATATTACCCCCCATTAAAAAGATTTAAAGGTTAAATACAAAATGTTTTATCACACCCATCTTTACTTTTGAAGCAACTGCTGTATAAAAAAGCCATGTAATTTGCTAAGTGTGATACAGCTACCCTCAAGCGTCCAGCCATCCGCCAGAGCAGGATAGGATTTAAGAAAATAGACTCTGGAGTCAGCCCTCTGAGTTTGCATTTCTGTTCATCCTTTTTTAATTGTGCATACCTGGACAAGTTATTTAAACTCCTCATGCTTCATTTTTCCCAACAAAGGAAAAAGGGCGTTAAAGTACCTAATCCCTGGCATTGTTACAAGTATTAAATATTTTAAACTAATACATGTAAAACAGTGCGATATGTGTGGTTTTTATTATAATTAGTCTAATGGTAGGTATAACTTGGGCCTAGATGCATACTTACTAGCTTATTTATTTATGTATTTATTGAGACAGAGTTTTGCTCTTGTTGTCCAGGCTGGAATATAATGATGTGATCTCGGCTCACCGCAACCTCCGCCTTCTGGGTTCAAGCGATTCTACTATCTCAGCCTCCTGAGTAGCTGGGATTACAGGCATACACCACCATGCCCAGCTAATTTTGTATTTTTAGTAGAGACAGGGTTTCTCCATGTTGGTCAGGCTGGTCTTGAACTTCTGACCTCAGGCGATCCACCTGCCTGGGCCTCCCAAAGTGCTAGGATTACAGGCTTGAGCCACCGCGCCCAGCACACTAGCTCTCTTTTATACTACTCCTACTACATTCATGGGCTACATCATTATTCTCCTCTGTACTATCAACAGTCCATTCTCCATTCCTCAATTTGAAGTGAAGTACATATCTGATAGGCCACTTCTCTGCTCTCTTACCTGAAAATGAGTCTGCATATCCTCTCTCCTCTTCCATTCCCCTAGAATGTGTGAAGTAGTTCTTTTCATTGTTTTTTAACCTTCCTCTCTTCTTTCCTTCTGGCCTAGAAACGTTTTACTTGTTTCTAATCTTATATGCTGTCCCCTCCAGCCTGCCTTCTGTTATCCATCTAATTCCGGTAGGTTTACTTTCGAGAGGTCTTCTTACCTTCTGCACTCTCATCAAGCTGCATGATATCAACATTTCTAGTGTACTTGGGCTGAAGTTGTTTCTCTCTCTCTCTCTCTCTCTCTCTCTCTCTCTCTCTCTCTCCGTCTTGTGCGTGCGTGTGTGTTTTATGCCATTATCTTGTAAGGACTTAGTATAGCCTGGGCTTTTGTTTTGATTGTCGTTTTTCTGGATTTGTTTGTTTCACTTGCTAAAAACATACAGTCTCAAGGAGAATACAGCAATTTGTTCTACAGGAAGCCACCACACAAGTACAGTATAATTTTAGCTTATGATGTGGTGAAATTGATGATGTGTTTGGAATCAAAACACCCTAGCCCCACCATTTATTAACTAATAGTATAACTTTGTAAAAAGCTTTTTACTTAAGCCTTTTGAGTCCTCTACTTAAAAATATTAATAGCCATTATATAGGGTAAATAATATAATTAAATAAATTATAAAGAACTCTTCAAAATTTGTGAATAAAATTTAATCGAATCTGAAAAACACATTTGCAATGGATAATCACCAGTGAAAATTATTAGTGGATAAAATATTTATAAGGCACTTATTTTACTAACATTTTAGATCATCTTATTAAATTTATATAATTGCTTTATGTTTCCATTTAGTTAATTGACCTGTATTATTCAATAATTTGAATTGTAGGAGTTAGACAGTAGTTTTCACAACTACATTTTAATATTACTCACAAATTTCATAAGTATAATTTGGACAAATACAAAGCAATGTTTGTGAATCACAATAATAAAATAAAACATGACATATCTAATACATTACAAAATAATTTTAGCACCATTTAGTATAAGACTAAAATTCTGATGTTGATAATTTGGAAAGCAAACTCTTGTTCACATAAGACCAATCATTTGTTTGCAATTACCTAATAAAATATCTGATGACTAAAGTATCATATGAAATAATAAATATGTAATATCTTCACATAATAAATCTAATAGATGTGTATTATATTGTAACAACAAATGTTGCAAATTCTCCAGTGGCTAAACATCAAGTTATAACTCATGATATATTTATGTTTCCTAGGTTCACCTATAATTAATATTTTTTAACTATATTATTAATTGGAAAAAATAAACAATAAGATATATCTTGAGCTTACTTTTTAAACTGTGCTTGATTCCAGTGCTCCCCCTTCTACCCAATATGTGGAGAAGAAGAAGAGGAAGAAAAGGAAGAAGAAGGATGAAGAAGAAGGAGGAAGAAGAAGGAGGAAGAACAAGAAAAGAAGAAGAGGAAGAGGAAGAGAAAGAAGAAGAAGAAGAAGAAGAAGAAGAAGAAGAAGAAGAAGAAGAAGAAGAAGAAGAAGAAGAGCCAAATAGCTTCATCCCATACTGCTCACCTTTTCTAGATTTTTGGTTTTGCTTCATTACCAACATCCAAAAAAAGTGAATTGAATAAGGTAGCTTCTGTTGACACTGGCTTAGGAAGCAATTGAGCTGTCCATTTTTCAAAGATCACAGAGTGTATTAGTTTGTTATCATGTGGCTATGAAGAAATACCTGAGACTGGGTAATTTATAAAGGAAACAGGTTTTATTGACTCACAGTTCTGCACGGTTTAATTGACCCACAGTCCTGCATGGTTTGGGAGGCCTCAGGAAACTGAAAATTGTGGTGGAAAGCACCTCTTCACAGGGCGGCAGGAGAGAGAATGAGTGCCAGCAGGAGAAATGCCAGACACTTATAAAACCATTAGATCTTGAGAGAACTGACTCACTATTACAAGAACAGCATGAGGGGCACTGTCCCCATGGTTCAATTACCTCCCACTGGATCCCTCCCATAACACATGGGGATAATTCAAGATGAGATTTGCTTGGGGACACAGCCAAACCATATCATTCTCTCCATGGCCCCTCCCAAATCTCATCTCCTCACATGTTCAAAACACAATACCTTCCCAACAGTCCTCCAAAGTCTTAACTCATTCCAGCATTAACCCAAAAGTCCAAGTCCAAAGCCTCATCTGAGACAAGGCAAATTCCTTCAGCCTATCAGCCTGTAAAATCGAAAGCAAGTTAGTTACTTCCTAGATAAACTGGGGATGCAAGCATTGGGTCAATACACCCATTCCAAATAGAAGAAATTGGCCAAAAAAGGGGGCTACAGGCCCCATGCAAGTCCAAAATCCAATAGAGCAGTCATTAAACCTTCAAACTTGAAATGATCTCCTTTGACTCCATTTCTCACATTCAGGTCATGCTGATGCAAGAAGTGACTCCCACAGTCTTGGGCTGCTCTGCCCTGTGGCTTTGTAGGAAGGGTACAGCCCCCTCCCAGCTGTTTTCACTGGCTGGCATTGAGTGCTTGCAGCTTTTCCAGGGCACAGTGCAAGCTGCCAGTGGATCTACCATTCTGGGGTCTGGAGGATGGTGGCCCTCTTCTTACAGTTCCACTAGGAAGTGCTCCAGTGGGGACTCTGTGTGGGGGCTCCAAACCCAGATTTCTCTTCTTTACTGCCATAGCAGAGGTTCTTCATGAAGGCTCTGCCCCTGCAGCAAATTTCTGCCTGGACATCCAGGCATTTCTACACATCCTCTGAAATCAAGTTGGAGGTTCCCAAACCTCAATTCTTGACTTCTGTTCACTCACAGGACAAATACCATGTGTAAGCCACCAAGGCTTAAGGCTTGCACCCTTTGAAGCAATGACCTAAGATGTACCTTGGCCCCTTTTAGCCACAAATGGAGCTGAAGCAACTGGAACACCATGTTGTTCCACAAATGGAGCTGAAGCCCCAGAGCACCATGTTCTGGGGCCAAACAGAGCAGGGGGGCCCAGAGTCTGCCCACAAAACCATTTTTCCCTCCTAGGCTTTCAGGTCTGTGATAGCAGGGGCTGCCATGAAGGTCTCTGACATGCCCTGGAGATATTTTCCCCATTGTCTTGGTGAGTAACTTCTTAATCCTTAGTTATGCAAATTCTGCAGCAGTCTTGAATTTCTCCCCAGAAAAAGGTTTTTTTGTTTTTTTTTTTCCTATAGCATCAGCTGGTCACAAATTTTCCAAACGTTTATGCTCTGCTTCCTCTTGAAAGCTTCACAGCTTAGAAATTTTCTCTGCCAGATACCCTAAATCATCTCTCTCAAATTCAAACTTCCATAGATCTCTAGGGCAAAGGCAAAATGCTGCCAGTCTTTTCACTAAAGCATAACAAGGATCATCTTTATTCCAGTTCCCAAAAAATTCCTCATCTCCATCTGAGACCACCTCAGCTCGCACTTTATTTTCTATATCACTATCATCATTTTGGTCATAGTCATTCAACAAGTTTCTGGGAAGTTCCAAACTTTACCACATCTTCTTGTCTTCTTCTGAACCCTCCAAACTGTTTGAGTCTCTGCCTGTTACCCAGTTCCAAAGTCACTTCCACATTTTTGAGTATCTTTGTATCAGCACCCCACTTTCTACAGTAACAAATTACTATATTAGTTTGTTCTCATGCTGCCATGAAGAAATACCTGAGACTGGGTAATTTATAAAACAAGAGGTTTAATTAACTCACAGTTCCACATAGCTGGGAAAGTCTCAGGAAACTTACAATCATGGTGGAAGGCACCTCTTTACAGAGTGGCAGAATAGAGAATGAGTGCCAGCATGGGAAATGCCAAGACACTAATAAAACCATCAGATCTTGTGAGAACTCACTCACTATCAGGAGAACAGCATGGGGGAAACCACCCTTAAGATTCAATTACCTCCCATTGGGTCCCTTTCATGACACATGGGGATTATGGGGATTACAATTCAAGATGAGATTTGGGTGGGGACACAGCCAAACCACAGGGGAAGGGTGAAATGTAAATATTTGGTAATTTAGTGTTGATACTTTTTTCCAAACACTATCATTTTCAAAAGAAGATTTGGATAATTTTTTTTTTGCTCTGTGCAGAATATTTGTATTATGGAAAGCACTTCTTCATTACCAATTATGAATGTTTGCAACATTATTTTGTTCTCTTGCTATAAATACCTGTGGGTTTCACTCACAATTTATATGGATCACCATTTAACCTATATGTCCGATAATTAGGTTTTCCCCAAAATAAAATGTGAAACCCTTAGACAATTAGCTCCATCAATGACATATGAGGTGGGTCTATTAGACACCTCATACACATCATCTGAGCCATTGGATACTCCCTTCACTGTAGCCACCACAGCAGCAGCCCTGTGTGGACTGACAGGTTTCATTGACAATAGCTGCCTTAATAATGTAGACTGAGTGGCTTATAAACAGAGGAAATTTATTTCTAATAGTTCTGGAGGCTGGGAAGTCCAAGATCAAGTCGCCATCAGATTTGATGTCTGGTGAGGACCCAACTACTGACAATGGGCCGTCTTCTTGCTTTTTTCTCATATGGGCAAGGGTAAAAGATCTCTCTTGTGTTCCTTTTGTAGATACTAATACTATTCATGAGGGCTCAGCCCTCATGATCTAATTACCCCCAAAGTCCCCACCTCCTGATACCATCCCCTGGGGGCTTAGGATTTCAACATATAAATTTTGATACAAGTGGGGGAGACACAATTATTCAGTCAATAGCAAAAGCTCTGTATTTCATGTCTATAACTCTTGACTTATTACTCCACCTTAGGGCTTCTTTATTGCCTCTGATGTATTAGATGCCAGAGAATGCTGGGCGCAGTGGCTTATGCCTGTAATGCCAGCATTTTGAGAGATGGAGCCAGGCAGATCCCTTGAGCTCAGGAGCTGGAGACCAGCCTGGGCAATATGGACAGTCCCTGTCTCTCCAAAAAAAAAAAAAAAAAAAAAAAAAAAAAAATTTGCCAGCGTGGTGGCACGTGCCTGTAGTCCCAGAAACTCAGGAGGCTGAACTGAAAGAATCATTTGAGCCTAGGAGGTTGAGGTTGCAGTGAGCTGTGATCATGCCACTGCACTCCAGCCTGGGCAACAGAATTAGACCCTGTTTCTAAAAAAAAAAAAAAAAAAAAGCCACAGGAACTGCCTGCTTTTCAATCATGAACAACCTAGAATGCTTTTTTATGCTTTGTAATATGCACATAATGCGTGATTTTTATTTTAGGCTCTGCTTTTTGGGCCACTCAAGCTGAGACTAGTGGTAACATATTATGCTTAAGATCGCAGATTTTGAAATCAAATAAAGGAACTATTTTCCAGATGTGTAGCTTTTGAGACTGTTATTCAAATTCTCTGGTCTTCATTTATTACTTAATATATAAAA
Source organism: Homo sapiens (assembly GCF_000001405.40). NCBI lineage: Eukaryota > Metazoa > Chordata > Mammalia > Primates > Hominidae > Homo > Homo sapiens. The sequence continues at coordinate 136,976,079 of NC_000004.12, forward strand.
TGAAAATAATAACATTTATTTCATAGAACTTGGCGAGAATGAAGAGGAAATTGTGGACAAACCTTTTGGTAACCTACCTGACACATAGTAAGGGCACAATAAATATTATCCAGCTATTTGGTGACCATTAACAATTTCTATTTTGCCATTTTTCTGAAAAATGTATAAAATTGTATTTTGGAAGAAAACCTGTAAGCCAAGTGAATCTGAGGATTTTGTTTTTAGGTTTATGCATATGCAATGCAAAGAACTATGCTGAGAAAAAAATTTGAAGTGGAGAGTGATTTTTAATACTTTGTACATATGTAAAGATAAAAATGTACATGAAATTATTTATTATTTTTTTATTATTATACTTAAAGTTCTAGGGTACATGTGCACAACGTGAAGGTTTGTTACATATGTATACATGCGCCATGTTGGTGTGCTGCACTCATTAACTCATCATTTACATTAGGTATATCTCCTAATGCTATACCTCCCCCCTTCCCCCACCCCATGACAGGCCCCGGTTTGTGATGTTCCCCTTCCTGTGTCCATGTGTTCTCATTGTTCAATTCCCACCTATGAGTGAGAAATGCGGTGTTTGTTTTTTTGTCCTTGTGATAGTTTGCTGAGAATGATGGTTTCCAGCTTCATCCATGTCCCTACAAAGGACATGAACTTATCTTTTTTTTGTGGCTGCATAGTATTCCATGGTGTATATGTGCCACATTTTCTTAATCCGGTCTATCATTGATGGACATTTGGGTTGGTTCCAAGTCTTCGCTATTGTGAATAGTGCCACAATAAACATACCTGTGCATGTGTCTTTATAGCAGCATGATTTATAATCCTTTGGGTATATACCCAGTAATGGGACGGCTGGGTCACATGGTATTTCTAGTTCTAGATCCTTGAGGAATCGCCATACTGTCTTCCACAATGGTTGAACTAGTTTACAGTCCCACCAACAGTGTAAAAGTGTTCCTATTTCTCCACATCCTCTCCAGCACCTGTTGTTTCCTGACTTTTTAATGATTGCCATTCTAACTGGTGTGAGATGGTATCTCACTGTGGTTTTGATTTGCATTTCTCTGATGGTCAGTGATGATGAGCATTTATTCATGTGTCTGTTGGCTGCATAAATGTCTTCTTTTGAGAAGTATCCTTCGCCCACTTTGTAATGAGGTTTTTTGTTTTTTTCTTGTAAATTTGTTTGAGTTCTTTGTAGATTCTGGATATTAGCCCTTTGTCAGATGAGTAGATTGCAAAAATTTTCTCCCATTCTGCTTCTTTTGCTGTGCAGAAGCTCTTTAGTTTAATTAGATCCTATTTGTCCATTTTGGCTTTTGTTGCCATTGCTTTTGGTGTTTTAGACATGAAGTCTTTGCCCATGCCTATGTCCTGAATGGTATTGCCTAGGTTTTCTTCTAGGGTTTTTATGGTTGTAGGACTAACATTTAAGTCTTTAATCCATCTTGAATTATTTAAAAGAAAAAAATGTTTGCCGAATACTTACGTATTTTCAAGTAGTGTTTAGTATTGACCTTATAGTGTTATTGAGATAATTTGATAAGAAAATTCATGTAAAACACTAAGCATCATTTCTGTCATATTATAAGTGATCAATACTTATTAATATCATATGTAATGGTTCAGTGAAACTATAAATATTGTATTTCTTTTGCTTTTCATCTATTTTGGCATCACTTTGTTGTAAATGGTCTTTAAATTAATATACAAAATTATTTAAAAATCATTAGATTTAAGTAAATTAAAGCAAAATGATATGTGATGTATAAAGCCGTTACATCATTTTAAGAAACAATCAACATGGAAATAATAAAATGTATACAGATAACCATGTACTTTCTACATGTTGTAAAATGTCTTCGTTACCTTTAACTAAGCAGTTACTATATGCCAAGCGTTGTGCTCTGCTCCTCTTTCAGTTCATGCTGAAAATCCTGACAAACTCTTGAGAAAGGCATTATTCATTACCATTAAATAGCATATTAGGGAACTGAGGTATGAGAAAATGAACGTGTTCAAGAATAAATGATAAGTATTTTTACTAGCATGAAACCAAAGCTCTCTGGCTTTAAAGCATGTGTGTTTTATCACTATAAATAAATGTTTGTTTTTAGTTTTAAAAGGAGAAGGAAAGAAAGCAGGAAGGAGAGGGGGGAGAGGGAACAAGCAAGACAAAAGAGAATAGTAAGTTCAGGTGGGTTAGATTCAACTTCTGTCACATAAAGTCAGCATTTTTCATCTGAAGGTGGCAATCTTTAAACAAGAATCCTTGTAACCTCTATGTGGATGTGATTAGGTTACTTTTTTACTTTAATTGACTGGGAGTTGTATTTTTATCAATTTATTGCTATCACAATATTTCCTCTGCCTCTTTGCATTCAGTTTAAATCCATTTATTTATTGGGGTTGGACATGTCAACTTCTATAGATTAATTTGCCTTCATTAAAATGGCAATTCGGAGTTAATTATAGTAAAATCTCATAGAGATTATAAGACGGAATTTAGAATTATATTTGACTTAAACTATCACTGAAAATGAAATCTAAATAGTTTCACTAAATGATTACATGGGAATTATATGCAGAAGTTTTGTCGTAACTCAGTCTTAGTAGTGAGGCCTATTGATACAGTGAGTGTAATATTTGCCCAAAAAGTTTCAACACCATGTTACCCAGGAGCTACTGCAGCCAGAAATATTGAAAATTTTTTATTTTTGTGATACACAATATTATATCCTATTTCAGCAGAAACTTATTTTTCTCAACCATTAAAATATGTGCTCTGTATGCCTATAGTTCTTTCTGTAAGGAGAACAAAGACAAAAAAGTCACAGAATCCTCAAGTCAGAGAGATAAAAAACTGGAGCAAGACACAACCACAGACAGCATTGTTTCAAAGCCTATTGGTGAGGAAATAAGTATTTCCTTAGAAACAATTGATAAATACCTAAATTCAGTACTGCAGTGCAAGCATAAGCAAAGGTAGGGACTTGATATTTAGATCTGTGAAACAAGATGGACACATCATACAAAAATGCTATGGGAGAATAGCCATGGTTTCTTTAGTCTTAATAATCAAAGGCGATTACACTGATATCTCAATAAAAAAACTGGATATTCTTACAACCCATTGCATATCCTTTAGATTTTGTTGAACTTAAGCATATAAAATAAATAAGAAGTATTATATTTCATCACTTCTAAGAGACACATTTTCCCCCAAGTAAAACTGGCGTAAAAATTGGAGTAACTATTATAATCTAAGGTACCCTGTCATAATAATTAGCAGTATTGTTTTCTTCCTCCTCCCCCACCCATTTTCTAAGAGATACATTACATCTGGGGTGCATTGAAGATGGACAGTAAAAAAGCAGGTATTGGAAGCAAGGAGCAACATAAAACAGGCTATTTGGAGAATCCAAGTGACAGATGATTATAATTTGAACCAGAGGGTAATAAACATTAACATTCTAGTGATATTTGGTAAGTAACATTTCAAAATGTAGTCAATCCAAATTATTCAAAGATTTAATATTTATGAATTTGCCTACTTACTAAATTATTTGTAACCCCAATAGCAATACTTGTGCTGCTTTCATGCACATTCATGTACATGCACAGAGCCAGGAATAATTTGAGTTGCCCAACATCCATATTCCTAAGTTGAGGTCAAATAAAGTGATGCTACTTTCTTGTTTCAGTGGTTCCACTATAAACAAATCTTTTTATGGTTTATTTAGTACCATGGTTTTGCCTTTCATGCTTTTGGTTTGTGATCTTGCTGTTTAAAATGGCCCCAAGCATAGTGCAGAAGTGCTGTCTAGTGCTCACAGGTGCAAGAAGTCTGTGATGTGCCTTATGGAGAAAACACCTCTGTTACATAAACTTTGCTCAGCCATGACTCATAGTTATATTGGCTGGAAGTTCAATGTTAATAAATCAACAGTGCATATTAAATAAAGTGCCTTTAAACAGAAACCCCCATAAAACAAAGTTATATATTGATCAGTAAACAGAAAAGCTATAACCAAAGGCTTGCAGAAACTCTCTTCTCCATGTCGGAGCAATGGTTTAGTATTTCCTAACTCAGTGTTTTTGTTAACTTCGTAGAACACATTATCCTGAATAACAAGCATTGATTGCGTTCTCACTTCTTATGGAGTGCGAAAGAAAGAGAAAGAAAATAATTTCTCCGAGCTTTTTGCACTAGTCCACTGAAATGATTGAACTGTCATCCATGGTTATAAAGAGTAATGTGGATGAAGCTGGTTTCAGAATGAACAAGAATTTAGTTTTTGTCGTGTTGTGCTACAAATGTCTATCACATGACCAATAGGACGTGGCAATAAGAAAGTCATATAAACAAATAGGAGTTTGAGATGGAGAGTAATTGGCTGGAGTTATCTATTGCTGATTCATCACCATACAGAATGTAATGCAATCACTGAATCTGGGTAAAATAACAACAACAAAAAAATTAGTGTAGTCCAACGCGAGTCAAGGACTAAGTTTTGCATTGTTACGTTAACTTACGCTTTGTAACAGTAGTCAGATTGAAAAGAAGATATAATCAAAAGAGACTAAACTGGAGCAATTACCGAGAAGGAATTAAAACAGAGTTTGATGTCCTAGAATACAAGTTAAATATATATGTGTACATATACACATACACATACACATGCATATCAAGGATGAGAAAATAAGTCACTGCTGTGAATTAAGTAAAAAAAAATGATGACATATAATTACTTGCTGGATTTAGCAACTTTAAGGTCATTGCTAATCTAGTAAACCCTGATTGGAATGCACTGAAGAGAGACTAGAATAGGAATTAGAAATAACTCTCTTGAGAATTTTACAATGAAAAGAGGAAAGAAGAATATAACTACAGAGTAAAAGGGGTCAAAGAAGTGTCTTTCATGTGTATTGTTTTTAACACAGGCAATAAAAACATGTTTGCATACTGATGGGAAACATTCAACAAAATTACAGAAAAAAGTAATGAATCAGAAAATAAAGAGAGGTTTGCTGAAGCAATGTCTTTAAGTAAATGAATAAAGATGGAACTTAGCAAGCATGTATGTGGGGGAACCGAATTTAGATGGAAGCATCAGAATGATCAGTGATAGATGCAAAGATAGGATTTGTAATCCTTAATGAGGTTCATGGACATATATTTAAAATTAAATATGAAATATAAATTTAAGTTAAGAGTTAAGTTTGCTTTATGCATTTTTCCACCTACATGTAAGGACATAGGTGCAAATTTGGAGTAGGCAGTGTTGAATCAAACCAGGGTTGTGGTTTTGTCAAGAGAGGGTGGGGATGTTAAAGAAGAAAGAAGAATTGAGGGATATGTAAAGTAGTAATTATGAAGGAACCAAACATCATTGCCTGAGATAACTTAAAAATAGACTTTTGAACATCACAACTGTGGGGAGTGTGGACTCAAAGCAGGACAAGGTATGGAGAGAAGCAGACACTAAGTTAGGAAAGAATGGTTAGGATATTTAAAGCAGTGCATTCCTGAGTTGTACACAGCTCTCTGAGACTGTGTGGCCAGCTTGGGAGTGATCCCTGCAACTCTGAACGGTCTTTACAGTAAGTGAGCAGAATTTAACTCTTCTCTCCTTATTCTCAGTGGTCAATTTTGTTCCACAGAGTGAGCACTAAGTCCCTGAGTTTATTGAGTTGTGTTACCTGGCCTTTCTGGTAACCTGTGAGGAAGTCTGATCCCTCAAAACACAGAGCTTCAGGTGAGCCTGTGATTGAAGGCAGAAATTCTGTCATTTCTACATGGATTTGGCTGGGCTACACAGGACCCTGGATCTGCTGCTTTCTAATGTTTTATGCAACAGAGCCCATGATGAACTGGTACATTAATAGCAAAAGAAGTGAAGATTGATATAACCCAGTGTACATCCTTTAGATTTTGTTCTCTTTAAGTATACAAAATGAACAGAATATATTAGATTTTAACAATTCAAGTGTAGGAAACTGCAGAAATGTGAATATGTGACTACAGGTGGATACCCTGAAATTGCCAAAATTGCCAAGCAAAATTCCAACCTTTGATCAGATACATATTAATTTAAATAAAGAATTCTTAATAAGTTAAGGAATATGTGGAGTAAAAATGAACTCAGAATTAGTCTTGGTTTAGGCATAATTCTTAATTGTTCAGTGGAATTCTCTGGACCTGCTTTTGCCTTCCGAAGACTGCAGATGTTCTTGGCTATACTGTACATAAAACAATAAAACCAACCAACCAACAAAAAATGACATAAAATTTAAAAATCCCCAAAACAAAATCTATGAAAGAAAAATAAAAACTAGAGAACAAATAAAGGAAACTATCCAAAAAAGTAGTATTGAACGAATGCAAATTAAACAAGATATCATTTTGGCTTTACTCTAAAATTTGCAGACACAGAAATTATAATATCAGTTTCAATTTATGTAAAGTATGTTGTAAATTGACCCAATGTTTGCAAGATAAATTGTATTATATGTATCAAAAACCTTAAGTTGTTTGTAAGGAAATATTGGGTACATTTGCAATATTTTTGCAGAATATAACTTCATGAATTTTTAATTTAACTGACCTAAATTACAAATGTCCAAAAATATTGTTTGAGTTGTCAAAAATAGGAAAAAAGAAGAAAATACTTAAAGCACATTTTAAATGATATTGTAAAGATAATTCAAATGTGAAACTTGAGCAAGTATTTGAAAATCAAATACAATTAAAAATCAAATATTTAAAGAGAAAATACTTCAATATTTCTCTCAGATTTTTAAGAGAAAAATATAGAGGCAAAAGTGACGAGAGGACAGAAGGCTAGGGATTTACAAACATATAACTACTAAGCAATCTATGAAGGGAAACAAAATTAGGCATAAGAAAAGAATTAGATAAATAGACAAAATGCATGATATTTTCTATTTCCTATTTTGTTAGGCATGGTGACAATGGCCCTGCAGCAGACATCTCTAGCAATAGCATGAAATCACTGATGAGAACTGATACTCAGAAAAAACTTTAAGGTTTAAATAAATTGCATAGTTTGCTGCCAAGATGTGTTCAGCCATGATTTTCTTTTGTTCTAAACACTCAGAGATTGAATAAATACGTTTTCTGTGGAAAGAAGAGATGACTAGACAGTTGACCATCATTCAGTTCGATTTGGAATAACCTATTTTTTATTATTTCTAATAAGCAATAATATTTACTTTTAATAAAGAACATTTTGAACATTACAGCTTTTCTTCACAGTCACAATTTCTTTTATCAAACAAATAATGAATAGTCTAATATAGAAGGTTCCCTCAAGAGAAAGCTAAAGGAAAGTGGTAGATTATGTCAACATAATACGACTTTTTTAAAGAATTAGGAATAAACAATTCTATCCATGAATAATATGATGATTTTAACCTGAAACTAAATGTTTTATAGCGTTAAATATGCAAGTATTAATGCCAAAACAATGTAGAAATTCCACATTAATTTTAATCCTCTATTGTAATTTGCAGCAGACCAAATAAAAGATATATTTTTATGATGATCTCATGCTGCATAATCATTACAGACATTCAAAACTAAGTAATAAACTAAGTAATAAAATAAACTAAGTCATAACAAGTAATAAAACATTAATTAATATTCCAGTATTAATTTGATAAACATTTTTGAGTTCTTCAGATTGATTTATATATGTTAGTCAAACAGCTGATATATAATTTTTACATACTTGGAAGGACACACATAATTTAATTCACTTAGATTTGCATGTTATATGAAAAGTAAACAAGGCTCCTATTAGTTGGTATTTTTGAGGTTTTATATTAAATTGGCTATCATGGGATTTTAATATGTAGCCAAATATATTCAAAATCTTACTGAATATAACAAGTACACTGCTCTTTTAATTCTTCATGCTGTAATGTATGTTTGCGCGAGATTGGAACTCCTTTTTCCTCATTTATTTAAGATTGTTTAAGACATTGGCATTGACTGTAACACCTGGCTGTTAGAGGTCTTTCCAATTTTATGGGTTCTCTTGGAGTTTGTGTGATTTTCAGAAAGGAGAGAAAGGAGTGGCACCATTAATATTATGTAGTGAGTTTCCCAATACCTTAGAGAAAAGTAAAATTGTAGTTATATTGAATTTGCTTTAAGAAAGTGAGATAATTGAAAGTTTTTCTAAATTTGAATTTTTAGGTTATGATAGCTGCCTGCTACATAGTTATTATTGCTGTTTTTCATATTAAATTATCTTACATACATTTGTCATGTGACATATTTCCACTTTATTTTCTGTGTTTCCAAATCACTAAATTATTATTCTGTTTTCAAAGCCTTGTATCATGAATAAATAAAGACATTTTATTATCTCCCCATATCAAAATCCCTCCTGCACCCCACTCTTACCTTGCAACGACATAATATTTTCAAATATTAGGGATTTTACATTAGTTTCCAAGACGTGAAATATTGTGCCAGAATCCCAAACAGCTGAAAAGCACCAAAACATAAACATAAACACCGTCTAACATAAGTAGAAATGTACAAGTTACAGATGGAGTATTTCCGTACTTATGTCGAACTTATTTGATACTTTTGATTTTTCTTTTCTTTCTCTTGAGACTACACAGAAGGAATAAGATAGAAGGAATAAGATGTAACAGATACAAGGAATAAGATGTAACTTTAACTAGATAGAAGAATAAGATGTAACAAATTGACATGGAAAATTCATATAGATCAGACACAAATTTTCAGCTATGTCCTAAATAATTACATTTGCAATTAAAAAAATTAACTCTTGGAAGAACTAAATATTACAGCTTTAATAATACCATTTTTTAATGCTGCATCAACACTAGAAAGAGACCATTGTGTGTTATAGGCATTGTCAATGACTAAGTAAATAATTAAATACAATTAAAATGCCAAAAGCACAAAGCCAGTGGTCTATCTTAGAAGTGTTAGTTATAATTAATTAGGTTTTGTTAACTTTTAAAAATGGGAGTAAAATAGAAAGAAAATACATTTAGAAAAGTTTGCTGAGTATTTGGATTCCTAAAGACAGCAAAACAATGACAGATTGAAATCCGAGTTACGGATTTCCACTAAACTACCTATTTCAATCTTCAGCAAGTCTTTTTGACTACGTGTTGTATTGCATTTTATTGTGTTAGACCTGAGCTTGAAAATAGCCTATCATTTATAGGGGTGAATTGTTGAAGAATATCCCGAATTATTCCCTGAGGGAGCAATTATAATTGTTGAAGGAGGATAAGTGAGAATAGAAAAAGTATCCATGTCACAGGTCACATTAAATTCAGCATTGCCCATATGGGTGTTGGAAGATAACTATGGGAAAATTGTAGATATAATTTCTGCTGTGTTTGCAGAGTTATTGATTGAAGACATTGGTTTTGAATAGAAATGTTACATTTAGGTTGAGATGTCCAAAGGGCAGCCCATTTTCTTGGTGAGTTCTTCACTCTGTTTGCAGTTCAAGCATAGTGCTCTAAAAGTCAAACACTTTCTCACTTACCACTGAGTGGCAGCTCTCTCTTTTTAACCTTTTTAACCAAGCAACCTACAGTCATCTCTAAAACATGAATATAATGTTCCTCTTAATTCTTAAGACATTTATCTTCCCATCAAGCAAGCAAGACTTCTCTGAATTCCTGTCAGCAAACACACAAGTAGAATAGTTGCAAGAACTATTCTGATCATAACTTCCTCCCAAACTAATCAGTACAGCAGTGTTAAGTGGCATGTCATTCTGAAATATGCCACTGAGAGTGACACTTCATGTCGGAAGTTGTGCTGCTGTATTTGAAATGGAAAAGGAGAACTGTTCTCAAAAATTATTCTACTGTCTTTTTTACATAAAAGACTATAATCTGTGGTTATTATTTCTGCTTCCTCAGCATACACTCTTTTCTTTTGGGACTCCCAATTTTCCTTTAGGCAAAACAGAAAACCCAAAAACCAAAAACCAAGACAAACAAAAACAAAATCTTCCCTCACCCTCATCCCATATGATGAAGATAACACTGGGTCTAGTAGTTAAGAATGGAACAAAGACAGAACTAAACAATGTAATTTTCAATCCCTGGCCACATCCATTGTTCTGAGATAAGCCTATGACCCAAGCTGGTTTAATTACTATTAATTAACAACAGACTTGTATGGACACCAAATGAAGACTTACTCTTTTTTATTTCTACCTAATTTGAGGCTGTGATAATGCAGGCATACATACTGAGATCCGATGCTATTAGTGAAGACTCTGGATTCAAATGCTCCCTGAAGCTAATTCTATGTCTGTGCTTTTCTGTGCTATGTCTGTGCTTTTCAGTAATGTGAACAAATTAGATCCCTTCTTAAGCCAGTTTTAGCTGAGATTTTTTTATCCCTTGCTATGGACACCACCCTAAAATAATAGAGTAATTTATCTTGGGAATAAAATAGAAAATAAAGATGTGAGCCTCAATTCAGAGAATGTTGAGCTAGTTCATGAATTCATGAATATATTCACAGAGGGCTTCTTTTTGAGGTCCAACTCTATCATAAATCTGTACTTTCTACCAAAACTGACTGTAGGTTTTAACACCCAACACCCAAATTTTATCACAGTGTATGTCAGACAGCACTTTAAGAGACACTCTTACAGGCATACAGTGTACTTGTAACAATCATTTTGTAAATAAGTGCAACTTAGCAAAACTCAAATTCAAGCATTTTGTGAAGCTGGGCTGCAGTTATAGATATAAACAAACAATAATGACTCAGTACATAAAATATGAACTTTGAGAAATTGCAAACAGAGATGTTGAGAACTCTCTATTCTTTGTGATTAAGGATCTGAAACTGCAAGATCTTCTAACTGTGAATTAAAGAAATCTCAGCAAAATTAGAAGAATAAAATCTTTCTCATTCTCTCAGAGATGAAAGAAAAATGTTTAATACCCTGAGTTTTATAAAAATGAAGTGTCTATACATGTATTTTTCTAATAAGTAAGACTTGTAAGACATTCAAACTTTGGAAAATGTTACTATGACTTGTGTAACTTAACTTTAACCATGGATAGGTTGTCTTAATTAATGAAATGTTGCCATCATTATAGCATTTAATTTGGCATCTCTGATTTCTCAATGACATATATCTTTACAATTCTTCTTTGATTTATGAGACGAGATTGGAACATATATCTTCTCTATACCTGAAGGAGAAAACAAAAACATTCTGCCAAATATCTTATTTAAATGAAGACTCTGGTAGTCTTCTCTCATTTAAATTAACCCAGGTGAAATATGTAAACTTTCAGGCTAGTACTTAGGAGTTTTCAGATCAAGAAAGGCCTAGATTCTATTCAATTTCTGCCTCTGTGTAACTTTGGGCAAATAAATTAAACTCTCTGAGTGTTAATCTACTCATTGATAAAATGCAATTGGTTTTATAATTCATTTCAATGAACAGCTTTTAGCTTCATTTAAATTGTTTATTTTCTTTGGTTTCTCCATTGAATTTTGCTCAATTCTTTATGATTTTTTCCACTTGTTTTGAATTTTATTTGCTTTATTTAGGTGGAATCTGAGATTATTGATTTGAGAATGTAATTTTTGCTTAAAATGAGAGTTGAGTGCTATACATTATACTCAAATGACAGCTTTAGATGGATTCCACAAATTTGGATATGTTCTATTTTCATGTTTAATCAATTTAAGTTTTCTTTTTCAATATCTCTTCAGACTTCCTCGTTAACCCATGGGTTATTAAGAAATATGTTAATTTCCACCAGGTGCAGTGGCTCAGGCCTGTTATCCCAGAGATTTGGGAGGCCCAGGGGGGCAGATTGCTTGAGACCAGCATGGTGAAACTCAGTCTCAAAATATATATACATATATATATACACACAAAAAATTAGCCAAGTGCCTTCATCCTAGTTACTCAGGAGGTTGAATTGGGAGGATAGCTTGAGCCTGGAAGGTGGAGGTTGAAATTAGCCAAGATTGTGCCATTGCACTCCAGACTAGGAGACAGAGTGAGAACCTGTCTCAAAAAAAAGTATATTAATTAATTTCCAAATAGTTTGGACTATTTTAAATAATTATTAATTTTTAGATTAGCTCTGTATGGTCAGAAAAAAATAATTTGTATTATTTCTAGTGTTTCTATTTGTATAGTTTGCTATATGATCAAGGATATGCTCTGTCTAGGTAAAGGTTTCATATACATTTGAAAAGAACATGTATTCTGCTGACATTAGGAAAGTGTTCCATAAATGTCAATTATTTCCTTTGATGAAGTTGTTCAATTCTTCTAAGTTCTTACTGATTGGCTACTAGTTCTATCAATTACAGAGAGAGGAATGTTGTAGTTTCCAGAACTAATTTTGGATATTTTTTTCTATTTCTTCTTCAACTTCTATGAGTTTTTGCTTTATATAACTCAAAGCTGTTATTAGGTGCATGCAGATTAAAAATTTTTATATCTTCTTAGAAAATTGACACTTTTATCATTATGTAATGTCACCCTTTATCCCTGGTAACATTTCTTGTTCTGAATCTATTCTGTCAGATATTAGTATAACTAAAGAGGTTTATTTTGACATATGTATGGTATAAAGATTTTCATCCTTTTCCTTTTAACAGCTCTAAGCTCAGATATTTAAAGTGTGCTTCCTGTAGCTAACATATAATTGGTTCTTTCTTTCCTCATTCAATCTACCAATGTTTTTATTAACTGCTATCTTCTAACCTTTTATATTTAATGTGAGTATTGCTATAGCTGCTTTCTGCTTGTTCCGTTTTTATTTGGCTTTTTTCTCCATTTATGCCTTCTCTGTGTTAAATGAACATTTTACATGGTTACATTTTATCTTCACTATTGTCTCATTATGTACACCTGTTTAATTTTTTTAGTAATTGTCCCAGATTTGAAATATACATATTTACTCAATTGTAGTCTAACTTCCAATGATATCTTTCCACTTCATGTGCAGTTTATCTTATAACCATATGGTCTCAACTATTCTCATCTTATTCTCTGTACTATTGCTGCCATGTATTTCATTTTTAAGTACTCATAAGCATACAATATATTACTATTACTTTTTCCCTACACATTCAGTTATTGCTTTGCTTTGACTTCATTTACAGTCTTCACTACCCATCATATTCCATAAGTTAATTTTAAATAGAAATTATAATGGATTCTTTGCACTATCAGAGAAAAAGAAAAGTGTCATTCTGGAAAGAATATGGAATTTCAACGTTAACAAACTGGATTTTTTTTCTGTAAATGGGAAATCATAAGCCATAGATAAAACCAAACCAAAAAATCAGTTTCAGTACTTATTAATAGTAATTGCAATTTCTCAAATTTTCTAAGACAATTAGTTTTTTAATCAGGTTACCAGAATGGCAAATGAAAGAAAAATATATTAAATAATAATTTAAGGAATTTTACCTATAAGAGAGAAAAAGGAAAACAAAACTAGGTAGAAGAAGAAATTTAACTATGATATAGTTGCAACAGATCCCCTGATCTCACTGTGAGCTCTAAAACTGGGTTGGACCTTCAGAAATATCCCAAATTGAGGAAAAGTATTGAGGCTTTATGTTCCTGTACTAATTACTTTTGTTATAGGTTTCTTCCCATTGAGGAGATGTAAGAGTGTATGAGGATGCCTTTTTTGGCTGAGAGAAAATCCTTGGAAGGGATACTTCTATGATACATCAGCAGCTATTATTCTCAGCACCTGGGGTAAAAAGCATCTTTACTCTGAAAGGGGACTTAAACAGTACACTACAACTTCCATTGCAGTTCACCCTTTGTGTCTCTTAGAGCCTTTGTTTCCAATAATAAATTTACTTCTTCTGGAAATAGATTTTTCAGGTCTCATTTCCTGAGGGAAAATTATTATTGAGACTTACACAAGCCTTTCTTCCCTGGCTTCAGCTGGTCTCAGGGCCACAAATGATATGCATAATCTTCCTCCTGTGCTACCCTTTCTAGATTCCCCTCAACTTCAACTATAACTTCCCCTAGTCAAGAGAGACAACTTTTCTTCTGAAAAGCTGATTCTCTAGGGCATGATTCCCCTCTCCAGTTAAGGCTGCTATGGTCATGTATTTATTGTCAAAATTGGGCAGATATTTTGTGGTTCCTCAAAAAGCTAAACAGAATTACCATGTGACCCACTCCTGAGTATATACCTAAAAGATTTGAAAATAGAGACTCAAATGGATATGCTTATGCCAATATTTATTTCAGCATTATTCATAATAGCCAAAGGGTAAACACAATCTGAGTGTATGTAAACTGATTATTGGAGAAATAAAATGTACTCCAAATATACAATAAAATATTACTAACCAATAAAAAGGATGAAGTTCTGATACATGCTACAACATGAATGAATCTTAAAAACATTATGCTAAATGAAATAAGCCAAATACACGAGGACAACCATTATATAATCCCAATTATATAAAATATTTAGGTAAATTAATTTATAGAGATAAAAAATAGATTAGATGAGAGGGGAGATGAAAGGAGGGAGAAGTGGAAATTGTTGATTAATGGTTATAGGATTTCTTTCCTGGATGACAAAAAACTTTTCAAAATAGGTAGAGATGAAGGTCGCATGACATTCTAAATGTAGCTAATGCTATTGAATTGTATACCTAAAAATAATCAAAATGGTAAATTTTATGTTAATATATAAATATATAAAATTATATAGATTATGTATATAAATTTAATTATAAAATATATGTTACATATACATTTTATTCAATTTATAATATATACAGTTTTTATATATTTTATCAGAATTAAGAAACAATGAAATACTCTAAAATCATTGACTTGAATGGTTTAACTAGGAAAATTGTATTTTATGTCAATCATATATCAATAAAATTATTTCAAAAATGGCAGACGAGTTCTAAGTTATGACCCAATGAATCACCTGGATGCCAAACATATTTTTCATTTTACCTATCATTTAATAATAACCCTATCTCTTTCTTCTGATGATTACAGTCACTATCTCTGCCAAGATAGTGACTTTTTTCTTCCCTGCTTGTTTTTAGTATTAGGAGACTAACATTATGTGGCAGCCATACCTTGAAATTTGCTGAAATTCTGGCCGTCATCCCTGGTAGAAGTGTATCCTCATGGGGAACCTAGACTTTCAGATCTGAAGAGACTACAGTTGTAGATATGGCAAGCCCACATTCACCAAGTCAGTCACTGAGAGTAACGGTAATTACAGTCATTCCTACTTCCATCTCTTGGTTCTGAAGCTTACTTATTTTAGATAATGAGGAAAGATACCACATTATTATATTGATTTAGTGTGTATATTGTTCCTAAAATATGGTGCCCCATCTGAGCAGGGTGTTGTTACCAACCTAGCTTCTGTAACATGCCTCAATTTTCCATTTCTTCATATCCTTTCCTGTAGAGTTCCTTGTTACAATATAATGTTATGCAGAATACCATATTAGTGGATCAAACACTCTATGCACTAAAATACTAGCAAAAACTGAGGCTCTGTGGGAAAGGAAATGCTAGCAAAAATTGAGGCTCTAAAGAATGTGTGAACTCCAATCATGACGAATTACTGTCCTTTTCAGAATGTAGGTTAGTCTCTGTAGTTAATTTGGCATTAAGTATCTAAGAGGTATATTCCTATATCAGAAATTTAGTATTGATTTCTATTGCTAGCAAGATGAATAATTAGCAGCAGCATTAACTAGGTCATTCTTGGTGAGTAGAAACCCAAGCTATTCATGCACCCATTGTGCTAGCTCAGGAAGGGTTGCTGATAGAGTCTGAACATTAACTGGCTGGAGCATTCTATTTATTAATGCCTCTTTCATGGTGAGCATCTCTGGTAGAGATTTGTGATGGCTAATTTTATTTGTCAATTTGGCTGGGCCACAGTACTCAGATATGTGGTCAAATATTTTTCTGATGTTTCTGTGAGAGTATTTTGGATGAGATTACCATTTAAGTTGGAATTTGTGTAAAGCAGATTGTACTCCATAATGTGTGGTGGACGTTAACAAACCAGTTGAAAGTCTAAAGAGAATAAAAGATCGCCCTCCACTGGGTAATAAATAATTCTGCAGCAGAGGGGCTTCAGACTTCAACTGCAACACTGGCTCATTCCTGGTCCCTAGCCTGCTGGTCCACTGTGCAGATTTTGGACCTGTAAGTTTCCATAATTGTGTTAGCCAATTCCTTAAAACCGACCTATATCCATTGTCTATCTCTATGTATAAATTTAAAATATATATTTATACTTATAATAAATCTTTATGTTTCTGTCTCTCTCTACACACACACACACACACACACACACACACACACACACACCATTGGTTGTTTCTCTGGAGAACTTTGACTAATAAAGCATCATAAGGTAACATAAAGATCTTCACTCTTTTTGCTTACCCCCCTCATTTATGCACACGCCTTTTCTGTAGACCTCTCTGTCTCAGTCTTCTAAGCTGTCTGCTTCTAGGCCCCTGATAAACAAAGCAAGTCTTTCCCCACTGCCAATGAGTTCATATATGTTGTCATCTATGGAAACTATTCTTGCCACACAATATGAATGACCAAGTATATCACCTGAAGCTCTGCCCACATGAAAATTCCTCTTCACCAATGTCATTCATGACCACTTCTTCAGAAATGAAGTCTACTAAACATGTTGCTTATTTCTTTATGGGGGGAGTTGTGAGATACTGTAATTTGGGTTTCTTTATGTTTGAGGAACATTTCAGAACACCCCAGGTCATTGGACCCCCAAACAATGCACTTATCGATACGTTGAGTCCCAGAAACATTATAGAGTATATTTCTCACACTCTTGAGTGTATGAGCTTTAAGAAGGCCCACCTTATACAGTAGAATTAGCGCATTTTTAATTTGCAACCACAAGCCAATGTACTCATAATCTTTTTCTTGGCCTTTGCCTTCAATATAGGCTGTTCTGAGTGGCTGCCAATGTAACCATAGGGGTGAGCTGAGGGACAGGGCCCAGTGCAGGGGTGTCTGATAAATTGAAATTCTAAGCCACTTTATGCAAATTACTTGTAGCCCTAACTTTGATTCTGCCCAATTTCAAATACTTTCCTTCAACCTTGGAATAGATAGCTGGATCTACATGACCACATGATGTGGAGGGTCTCACAGAAGCCGGATCATAAAGGATGGGCTGCATGGTCACTTGATATCCCATGATCAGCATTTCTCTCATGGCTAAGTAGCATTTTAAGATATTTTTTGAGTGACGTATGAATGTTTTTCTTTCAATTTTGTTTTCTTTTTTTTTCTTTTTAAAGTCTTTATTTTGTAGCCAAGTCTATCAGTTTTATTTTTTATTTATTGTTTTGTTTTATGTTTCCTTGTCTTTTTTTTATTTATTCTAAAAAAAAAAAGATGCTTGTGCAGAATGTGCAGGTTTTTTTCCATCAGATATACATGGCCAGTGGTTTGCTGCACCTATTGACCTGTCCTTTAAGTTCCCTCTCTCACCCCCCACCCCCAACAGGCCATGGCATGTGTTTTTCCCATCTCTGTGTCCATGTGTTCTCACTGTTCACTCCCACTTATGAGTGAGAACATGCGGTGTTTGGTTTTCTGTTCCTGTGTTAGTTTGCTGAGGATGATGGCTCCCAGCTTCATTCAGGTCTCTACAAGGACATGATCTCATTACTCTTAATGGCTGTGTAGTATTCCATGGGGCATATATACCACATTTTCTTTATCCAATCTATCACTGATGGGCATTTGAGTTGGTTTCATGTATTTGCTATTGTAAATAGTGCTGCAATGAACATATGTGTGTATGTGTCTTTATAGTAGAATGATTTATATTTCTTTGGGTATAAACCCAGTAATGAAATTGCTGTGTCAAATGGTATTTCTGGTTCTAGATCCTTGAGGAATTGTCATACTGTCTCCCACAGTGGTTGAACTAATTTACATTCCCATCAGCAGTGTAGAAGCATTCCTATTTCTTCACAGCTTTGCCAGCATCTGTTGTTTCCTGACTTTTTAATAATCACCATTCTGACTAGCATGAGATGGTATCTCGTTGTGGCTTTGATTTGCATTTCTCTGATAATCAGTGATGTTGAGCTTTTTTTCATATGTTTGTTGGACACATAGATGTCTTCTTTTGAGAAGTGTCTGTTCATATTCTTTGCCCATATTTGATGGTTTTTGTTTCTTGTAAATATGTTTAAGTTCCTTGTAAATTCTGGATATTAGACCTTTGTCAGATGGGGAGAGTAAGAAAATTTTCTCCCATTATGTAGGTGGCCTGTTCACTCTGATGATAGTTTCTTTTGCTGTGCAGAAGCTTTTTAGTTTAATTAAATACCATTTGTCAATTTAGACTTTTGTTGCAATTGCTTTAGGCATTTTTGTCATGAAGTCTTTGCCCATGCCTATGTCCTGAATGGTATTGCCTAGGTTTTCTTCTAGAGTAGCTGTGGTTTGGAGTTTTACATTTATGTCTTTAATCCATCTTGAGTTAATTTTTGTATAAGGTATAAGGAAGGGGTCCAGGTATCAGTTTTCTGCGTATGGCTAGACAGTTTTTCCTGCACCATTTACTGAATAGGAGATCATTTCCCCATTGCTTGTTTTTGTCAGGTTTGTCAAAGATCAGATGATTGTAGATGTGTGGAGTTAATTCTGAGGTCTCTGTTCTGCTCCTTTGGTCTATATGTCTGTTTTGGTACCATTATCATGCTGTTTTGGTTACTGTAGACTTGTAGTACAGTTTGAAGTCAGGTAATGTGATACCTCCAGCTTTGTTCTTTTAGCTTAGGATTGTCTTGGCTATACGAGGTCATCTTTGATTTCATATGAAATTTAAAATAGTTTTTTCTTATTCTGTGAAGAATGTCAATTTTGATGGGAATAGCATTGAATACATAAATTACTTTGGGTAGTATGGCCATTTTCACAATATTGATTCTTCCTATCCATAAAGATTGAATATTTTTCCATTTGCTTGTTTCCTCTCATTTCCTTGACAAGTGATTTGTAGTTCTCCTTGAAGAGGTCCTTCACATCCCTTGCTAACTGTATTCCTAGGTATTTTATTCTCTTTGTAGCAATTGTGAATGGGAGCTCATTCGTGATTTGGCTCTCTGCTTGCCTATTGTTGTTGTAAAGGAATACTTGTGGTTTTTGCACATTGATTTTGTATCTGAGACTTTGCTGAAGTGGTTTATCAGTTCAAGAAGTTTTTAGGCTGAGATGATGGGGTTTTCTAAATATAAAATCATGTAATCTGCAAACAGAGAAAATCTGACTTTCTCTCTTCCTATTTGAATACGCTTTCTTTCTTTCTCTTGCCTAACTGCCTTGCCAGAACTTACAATACTATGTTGAATAGGAGTGGTGATAGAGGGCATCATTTTGTCTTGTACCAGTTTTCAAAGGGAATTCTTCCAGCTTTTGCCCATTTAATATAATATTGGCAGCGGGTTTGTCATAAATAGCTCTTATTATTTTGAGATATGTTCCATCAATAGTTTATTGAGAGTTTTTAACATGAAGGAATGTTGACTTCTATCAAAGGCCTTTTCTGCATCTATTGAGATAATCATGTGGTTTTTGTCTTTGGTTTATGTGATGGATTACATTTATTGAGTTGCACATGTTGAACCAGCCTCTCATCCCAGGGATGCAGCCAACTTGATCTTTGTGGATGAGCTTTTTGATGTGCTGCTGGATTCAGTTTGCCAGTTTTTTATTGGGAATTTTTGCATCAATGTTCATCAGGGATATTGGCCTGAAATTTTCTTTGTTGTTGTTGTGTCTCTTCCCAGTTTTGGTATCAGGATGATACTGTCTTCATAAAATGAGTTAGAGAGAAGTATCTCTTTTCAGTTGTTTGGAATAGTTCCATAAGGAATGGTACCAGCTCCTCTTTTTATTTCTGATAGAATTCAGCTGTTAATCTGTCTGGTCCTGGGCTTTTTTTGGTTGGTAGGCTGTTAATTACTGCCTCAATTTCAGAACTTGTTATTGGTCTATTAGGGGATTTGACTTCTTTCTGGTTTAGTCTTGGGAGGGTGTATGTGTCCAGAAATTTATCCATTTCTCCTAGATTTTCTAGTTTATTTGTATAGAGGTTTTTATAGTATTTCTGTGTGGTCAGTGGTGATATCCCCTTTATCATTTTTTATTGTGTCTATTTAATTCTTCTCTCTCTTTGTCTAGCTAGTTGTCTATCTACTTTGTTAATTTTTTCAAAAAAAACACCTCCTGGATTCACTGATTTTTTGGAGGGTTTTTCTTCTCTCTATCTCCTTCAATTCTTCTCTGATCCTAGTTATATCTTGTCTTCTGTTAGCTTTTAGATTTGTTTGCTCTTGCCTCTCTAGCTTTTTTGATTGTGATGTTAGGGTGTCGATTTGAGATCTTTCTAGCTTTCTGATGTGGGCATTTAGTGCTATAAATTTCCCTTTTAACACTGCTTTAGCTGTGTCCCAGAGATTCTGGTACTTTGTGTCTTTGTTCTCATTGGTTTCAAATAACTTCTTGATTTCTGTGTGGTACATTGTGTCTTTGTTCTCATTGGTTTCAAAGAACTTCTTGATTTCTGGCTTAATTTCGTTATTTACTGAGGAGTAATTCAGGAGCAGGTTGTTTAATTTCCATGTAGTTGTGTGGTTTTGAGTGAGTTTCTTAATCCTAGGTTCTAATTTGTTTACACTGTGGTCTGAGAGACTGTTTGTTATGATATCAGTTCTTTTGCATTTGCTGAGGAGTATTTTACTTCCAATTATGTGGTCAATTTTAGAATAAGTGCCATGTGGCACTGAGAAGAATGAATATTCTGTTGATTTGGCCTAGAGAGTTCTGTAGACGTCTACTAGGTCCACTTGATCCAGAGCTGAGTTCAAGTCCTGAATATCCTTGTGAATTTTCAGTCCCATTGATCTATCTAACATTGACATCAGGGTGTTAAAGTCTCCCACTATTATTGTGTGAGTCTAAGTCTGTCTGTAGGTCTCTAAAAACTTGTTTTATGAATCTGGGTGCTCCTATATGGGGTGCATATGTATTTAGAATAGTTAGCTCTTCTTGTTGAATTGCTCCCTTCACTATTATGTAACGCCCTTCTTTGTCTTTTTTTATCTTTGTTGATTTAAAGTCTGTTTTGTCAGAGACTAGGATTGCAACCACTGCTCTTTTTTCGCTTTCTATTTGCTTGGTAAATTTTCCTCCATCTCTTTATTTTGAGCTTATATGTGTCTTTGCATGTAAGATGGGTCTCCTGAATACAGCACACCAATGGGCCTTGACTCCTTATCCAATTTGTCAGTCCGTGTCTTTTAATTGGAGCATTTAGCCCATTTACATTTAAGGTTAGTATTGTTATGTGATAATTTGATGCTGCTATCATGATGCTATTTGGTTATTTTGCACACCAGTTGATTCAGTTTCTTCATAGCATCATTGATCTTTATACTTTGGTGTGTTTTGTAGTGGCTGATACAGTTTTCCTGCCATATATAGTGCTTCTTTCAGGAGCTCTTGCAGAGCAGGCCCAGTAGTAATGAAATCCCTCAGCATTTGCTTGTTTGGAAAGGATTTTATTTCTCCTTTGCTTATGAAGCTTAGGTTGCCTGGATATGAAATTCTAGGTTAACAGTTCTTTTCTTTAAGAACGTTGAATATTGCCCCCCAATCTCTTCTGGCTTGTAGAGTTTCTGCTGAGAGGACCACTATTAGTTTGATGGGCTTCCATTTGTAGACAACCTGGCCTTAATCTCTGGCTGCCCTTAACAGTTTTTCCTTCATTTTGACCTTGGAGAATGTGATGATTATGTGTCTTGGGGTTGATCTTCTCGTGGAGTATCTTAATGGTGTTCTCTGTATTTCCTGAGTTTGCATGTTGGCCTGTCTTGCTAGGTTGGGGAAGTTCTCCTGGATAATATCCTAAAGTGTGTTTTCCAGCTCATTTCCATTCTCCTCATCTCCTCTAGTACTCCAGTCATTCATAAATTTGGTCTTATTATGAAATCCCATATTTCTTGGGGGCTTTGTTCATTCCTTTTTATTCTTTTTTCTCTATTCTTTGTGCATGTTATTTCAGCAAGGTGGTCTTCAAACTCTGATATCCTTTCTTCTGCTTGGTTGATTTGGCTGTTGATACTTGTGCATGCTTCCTGAAATTCTTGTGTTGTGTTTTTCAGCTCCATTGGGTCCTTTATGTTCCTCTCTAAACTGGTTATTCTAGTTAGCAATTCCTCTACCCTTTTATCAAGATTGTTAGCTTTTTTTTGCATTAGTTTAGAACATGCTCCTTTAGCTCAGCGTAGTTTTTAATTACCCATAATCTGAATCCATCTGATCCTCTGTCCAGTTCTGTGCCCCTGATGGTGAGATATTGGGATCATTTGGGGGAGAAGGGGAACTCTGACCTTTTTCAGTATTTTTTCATTGACTCTTTTTCATTTTCGTGAGTTTGCCTGTTTCAGTCTTTGAGGCTGCTGAACCTTGGATGGGGATTTTGTGGGTACCTTTTCTTGTTGTTGTTGATGCTGTTATTGTTTTCTGCTTGCTTGTTTTTCTGTCAGTAGTCAGGCCCCTCTTCTGCAGGGCTGCTGCAGTTTTCTGGGGGGTTCACTTTAGGCCCTATTCATCTGATTCGCTCCTGTGCCTGGAGATGTCATTCAGAGAGGCTGGAGAGAAGCAAAGATGGGTGCCTGCTCCTTCTTCTGGGACCTCTGGCCTCAAGGGGCACCAACCTCATGCTAGTAGGATTGCTCCTGTATAGGGTATCTGACAATCCCTGTTGGAAGGTCTCACCCAGCTAGGACCCATTTAATGAAGTACTGTGTCCCTTGTTGGAGGGGCTGTGTTTCACTGGGGGATATCCCACTCATCTGGGCTGCCTAGATTCCTCAGAACTACCAGGAGGAGAGGCTAAGTCTGCTGGTCTGCAGAGACAGTAGCCACCCCTCCCCATTGGGGCTCAGGCAAAGGGAAATCCAAATTCCGTCCCTAAGCCTCTGGCTGGAGCTATTGGAGTTCCTGTAGGGAATCCTGCCCAATGAGGAAAGATGCATCAGGGTCTGGCCCAAAGAGGCACTGTGGCCACAGACTACCACAGCCAGTGTGTTGGGCTGTGGTGATAAGTCTTGGGACCAAGACTTCCAGCCATCCTGGCTCAAGCAGAGGAAAAACACTACCTGAAGCTATAGAAATGGGTGCTGCCCTTCCCCAGCCCAGGAAGCTTAGTATGTTAGGCAGTTGCAAGTCCTAGTGCTGGCTGCTGCCCCTCCCCAAAGGAGCTCAAAAGGCTTAGACAGCATGCAGCAGCAGCCAGTGCTGGTCGCCTCTCCCCACCCTGGGAATTTGGTAGGCTTAAGCAGATTCTAGCTGAGATGCTGTAAGAATCTGCTCATTCTGAGGTTGGGACACTAGGCCCTCGTGGAGTGGGTCCATGAGTGGGATATTCTGATCTGTGGTTGCACAGTTATGTGGAAAAGCAGTTTCCTAGGCTGGGTAGCACACTCACTCACTGCCTCCCTTGCCTGGGGGAAGGCAATTCCCCTGCCCCATGTGGCTCTCAAGTGGGCTGATGTACCACACTTTCTTCCTTCTCTCCATGGGTCACTTCAGCCTTCTAGTCAATTTGGATGAGAGAATCTGGATACCTTGGATGCCGGTGAAGGATTCACATGCTTATTACATGCTTATTATATTTTTTTCAATGGTAGCCTCTGAACACCACTGCTTAAAGTCGGCCATCTTGGCCCCACCTGCACTTTTTAGAGTCTTGCTTTGTCATCCAGGCTAGAGTGCAGTGGTGCAATCATAAGTCACTATAGCCTCAACATCCTGGGCTCAAGTGATGCTCCTGCCTTGGCCTCCCAAAGTGCCAGGATTAGAAGTGTGAGCCACCACACCTGGGCTTATGAATATTTTCCTACCACAAATGTCTTTAATTCCTTAGTTTACTAGTTTGTATGATCTTAACAATAGGACTTGCATTGCAGCCCAAAACAGCTGCAAAGCCATTCTTTATGCGTGCCCCAATCGAAGGTGGCAGTTTTCATTTCAGTAAGTAAATGGGTGGGAGTGGTATTCTCAAGTGCAGAATATGTTGCCCAAAGAACAAAAGAGATCTAGGAATCTTGCTTCCTTTACTTTGGTGGGAGGTATGAAGTGTCATGATTAGCTTTTGTTTTGAAAGGAATACACCAGAGCACAACAGATGGCTGGACTCTTAAAATATTATTCATATGCTCAGTCTCTAAAACATTATAGTGATGGCAGTGATGGCCCATCTGGAGCAGCTGCTGCCATGATGCCAGCTGCAGTAAGGAAAGCACAGCTGGGGCGGCATGCTCCATGGAGCCAGCAGAAGCCAGGGATAGGCAAAAGCCCTACCCACTTCCCAGTTGGCAGGATGGGAGCCTTGTGCTCCCCAGGCACAGCTGCAGCTGACCAGCTGCTACTCTGGACCCTGGCATCCCTGTTCTCTTGGGGGCTGGGAGCAGGAGGGAGCCCTGCCCTCTCAGGTACAGCTGCAGCTGCCCAGCTGTGGCTGCAGACCTGGGCATCTCTGCACTCTCAAGGGCCCGGAAGTCCCCCATCTCACCCCCACAGGCTGAGAAGTGTCTGTTCCCTCTGCCTAGTCTCTCCCAATTTTCAGTGCTTGCTCTGATCTTGGAGAAAAGTTGAGGCCGAGTCCAGGTGCTGTTGCAATGCAACTGGACGTGTGCACGCTCAGGGCAGCACTGATATGCCAGCCACCTGTTGCCTCAGTCCCCTCTGGAATTTGGGTGTTGATGAGCATAGGAGGGAGGCCAAGTGGTGGCTGAGGGCAGCTTGGTACTGGCCTGCAGGCACCCCTCAGCACAAACAGCCTAGGTGATGGCAGGAGGCAGATAGGCTCCTGGCAGAAAGGGGAAGGTCCCTGGTGAGGCCCCACATTCAAGCCAGAGATGAAGTCTGGGGGCTGGACTGACAGACCAGTAAGAGAACTTACGCTGCTTTTTCTGGGCCTGCCCGTAGTCACCCGTGAACCAATCAGTATGCACTTCCTCCCCTCTGAACCCTGTAAAAACCCCCTGGACCCAGCAGAGGTTTGGACTACCAGCTGTGGAGAAGAGCTACCCACTCCAGGGTCTCTTCTCTGCTGAAAGCTGAACATTCATTGGGACACCCTGCCTGTGAAGAGGAGCTACCCACTACGGGTCTCCTCTGAGCTGTTCTGTTGCTCAGTAAAGCTCCTCTTCACCTTGCTCACCCTCCGCTTGTCCACTTACCTCATTCTTCCTGGATGCAAGACAGGAACTTGGGACCTGCCGAATGGTGGGGCTAAAAGAGCTGTAACACAAACAGGGCTGAAACATGTCCCTTGCTTGCCATGTTGTGGGTGACGAGAAAAGAGAGAAGGAAAGAAGAGCTGAAGCCTTTTGGGGAGCCCAGACCTAGGAGGTCCCCGAGCCAGGGCTATGACATCCTCTTTGAGGTGCTGCAGTTCATGCTATCTCCAAGCTGCTTTTTTTTTGAGACGGAGTCTCGCCCTGTCACCCAGACTGGAGTGCTGTGGCGCGATCTCGGCTCACTGCAAACTCCGCCTCCTGGGTTCACGCCATTCTCCTGCCTCAGCCTCCTGAGTAGCTGGGACTACAGGCACCCACCACCACGCCAGGCTAATTTTTTGTATTTTTAGTAGAGATGTGGTTTCACCATGGTCTCGATCTCCTGACCTCATGATCCGCCCGCCTCAGCCTCCCAAAGTGCTGGGATTACAGGCGTGAGCCACCGCGCCCGGCTACCATCTCCAAGCTTCTGAGTGCTATTGCATTCCCCAGTGCCAGCCATGGAAGGTGCTTGCAGTGTGTCTGGTCCAGCTGCAGCTTTGCAGGAGCCAGCGCTTGGAGATACCCACCCTGCTGCAGCTGACATGCCTGGCCGTGTGCAGTGGCTGGAGCCCATGCTTGCTCCCTCACACAGCCCTCTGTGCCTGGCTCACCCATGGCAGGTGTGAGATTCAGGTTGGTAGCATGAGCTGAGCACAGACTGTCAGGCCGAATGGGTGGAATGAGCTCAGCAGACGTGAGGAAAATCTCAGGCAAAGGTGCCAAAGGCCACAGAGGTTTCTGGCTAAAAAAACAACATCCCAAAGATTCCATGACAACAGAATTAATTTCTCACACTCTGGAATGCATGTGTTTTATCAAGGCTTCCCTTATATTAGCTGTATCTTGCTCATCATCATTTTAATAAACATAACCTTGTTTGTTCGTCTTATAAGGAAATGGAAGAAATAGGACTGGGCCGAAAGGGGATTTGAATTGTGATGTGGTTGCAACAGGGGCCTCAACTTATAGGGAAACGTAAACTGAGATAGTTCTTCAAACATATCCTGACTTAAAGTAAGAGGACCAGGTTTTTGTACAAATTGACCACTTCTTAGAAGTAGACTGTTCTCAGGGCATGGGCATAATATTGGGTGAGGGCAATTTTGAGGGATTAGCTCAGTTTTGAGACTTCAGCAGTCAAAACTCCTGAAAAAGGAGTTTTCTCCTAGAGAAATCTGGGAGGCACATCACAGTATCTATTTCAACAATGAGCATTAACCTAGTAAATATATTATTCTAGACAGCAAATACATACACCAGTTTTTTAAAAATCAGAGGTGATTTGTGTAATCAAAGAACATATTTGCTCTGAAATAATACTTTTTAAGATTGGCAATATTTCACATATTCCCTTTTAATGGTAGACATTATAATAATAATATATAACAAATGACTATTTGTAAGCACTAATTGCTCATTATTTTATATGAGTCATCTGACTTTTAGAAGTAATTATATTATTACCACCATATATATAGATTTCATTGTCTCTCAATGCTAGCACGTCTGTCCAACTTGCAAGCACAATTAAAATTCTCTTGAGTAGAAATGAAGCTTCTAATTCAAGTCATTCTAAAATAAATTTATTGCTTAATTTATGAATATTTCTACATTAATAACTTAATTTGCTAATAGTTTAAGAATAGCTTCAGTCATTGAGAATATATACCTCAACGAGAAAAATAGACTCCCTTTTTTCTCAGCATATTATTGAAAGCAAAGATTTTGTCAGAAAAACTAATTTGAACAATGTATTCTAAATTGAAACATATGCAATGAGTAAGCTGAATTAAATTTATATTTGATTAGAGATAGCAAAGTCTTGTTAATAAATAATTTTAAAATATTAAGTTCAGAGATGATATAGTATCAGATATTATTTAGTGGACCTCAACTATGTGACATATTATAACTACAGAATCATAGTGGAAAAAAGCTAAGGACAATATAAGTCAAATTTTTAAATATTAAAATAATTAACAAATGTATAAGAACATTTTCATTGTAAAGTAAAAGAGCTGGAAAATACCTTCTCAACAGACCTATATTCCCATACTATTGAACAAGCAAATATGGCAATCTTAAACTACATCATGTATACATGAAATGATATAACCCTAAAGGATAGAAGAGATTTATCAATAAGTTGGCCTATAAAAGTTCATTGAGTTGTTTTTATTTAAATTTACCAGATGACTCCTGGGGTGGGGCTAGAAGTAACACAAGTGTACTTCCTTTTTCAGTGTTTGTGACATGTCACAATTCTGAGTGTCAATGTTATTCTTTAGGCCAATTGTTCCCAATAGGATCTTGTAAAAGCACCTATCAAGAAGAATATTTTCATCAAGTCACAGATATATAAGGGGAAAATATAGAAGAATGATAACTTAAAATTTTTCTACAAGTAATATAAATCTGAGGATATAGTCTCTTACATGTTTTGATATTAAAATGCTATATATTTTTTTCTGAGCAGAGGATGAGAAAGGCCACATTAAAGAATCAACTGCTTTAAGCTATTCTGTCCTATAAAAGAGCTCTTCCACTCCATATAGGTCTCTCACTCCAACTATACCATGGAGGCATAGTTCGCAGGGCCTTTATGGGGGTTTAATGTGTAAAGAGACAGGAAATTGTTAAATAGGAAAAAATTCTGAATTAGTAAGGTGGGTAAGAAGAGAGGAATAAGATTAAATGCACAGTAATTGTAATAATCATATTTCTGCGTTACAAGAAATATTTTATTTTACCTAGGAGTTCAAGCAAAGTGACTCTTTCTGGGGAAAGCAAAGATTAAAAAATATTCCTTGTATGCATAGTATTCCAAATAAAACCAGTATGATAAAAAATATCATTACCAACCTAAAAAAATCATGTTAGAAAATCTTTTGGAAAAATCCATTAATAAAGATTCATTTACTGAAAGCAGTAGTTAAGAAAGCCAAAATTCTACCTCTGCTAGTAATATGATCCTTGATTTAAGATCAGGATGTCAATCCATTGATGACGTGTCACAAGGCCATAAGTAGCAAGTGAGAAGTAAACTGAACCAGAGAGTTGCACAGGTAACCACTGGGGCTTGAAAGAAATGTTTCATCAGGATTATAACTGTTGTCTTATACATACTGGAAATAGGCTTATTCCCTCGGAAACTCTGAAATGTCTTCATTGTGTAAATCAGGGAAGCCAATATTATAATCTGAATATACAACTGAGTTTCCTATATATAAAGATAACCAATTAAAAAAAAACAAAACATGCAGTTGGATTCATTAGGGATTCAATTCAATCATTCGGAACCAATAGTTGGAAGTTTCATTATGCTATTACTGAATAAAATGAAAAAGAATCTTATTGATATTTTTATGTATATAAACCTGACTTGGTATTATATAGTTTTCTGTTGAAAACCCCAAGTATGAAAAAACAAGTAATCACAATTTCTTAAGCTAGAGAAATTGACCTACTCCACTGCTCCAATTTTATTAAGTTTGAGTAAAGGTCATTTCTGCCAAGCCATAGTCCCAGCTCTTCCCACTTCCTTGCATTCTGTAGTTCACTTTTATTTCTTAATCTTATGTCCCTTTAGAATATGAACTAGATGGTTACTATTCCCTGGAGTTCCTGACATTGCACTTGAAGGTCCCAACTCTGGCTTGCTCCTTGCCACCGCACCAGCCTTTTATAGTCCTAAGAGCTAAATATTCCATACATGGTCCTGTTGGAATCCCCTTTGGGAACCATCATTCACTGCTAGGTGGTTCCCTGGGCTTGTCATTACAAAACGTTGTTTAATGTACATTTCTAGGAATAAACACACTGACTTATTCCATATGACACAACTATTTCAGAAACAATAGAGATCTCTTCCTGAAATTGATATAACAATTGACCCAAATTTATACTCTGTAATTTCCTTCTGATGCTTTCCAGACACTGGACAAAACTTACGTTAAAAAGATCTTTAGTTTTTTGGACTGTGAACCCATTGATGGGTTTATGATTGAACACTTCCAAAATTAAACAGGGTGATTGACCTTGTGAGCATATTTTCAAAATTGAGGGATTAACTCTTAAGTTAAAACTTCTCAAATTCTAGCCAGAGCATATTTTTTGTCCTGTTCTTTCACCATCAGCCTTTGCCAATACCCTGAACTTCAATAATTTATGCAGATCACCTGATGTTGAAAGTTAAATAATATTTACATGTCTTTTTTCTTGAGCTAAACAGTTTTCCAATACCTAGGGCCCCCAAGTAATTTTCCACAGACCATTAAAGGCTATCCATATTATTAAATGCAATGTGTTTTAATTAGAGTTCTCCAGAGAAACAGAACCAATAGGATATATAGTTATATATCTATATATCTGTCTAAAGATATTTATTATAAGAATTGGTTTATAAGAGTATGGAAGCTGATATGTTTCAAGAGCTACAGGGTGAGTCAGCAAGCTGGAGAGCCAATGATGGAGCATCAGTCCGAAGATCCGCAGGCTCAAGATCCAAGATGAGTTAATGTTTCAGCTCAAGTAAGAAAATGCAAATGGTCCAGTTTTAAAACAGGCAGGAAAATTCTGATCTGGGAGAGGGTCAGCCTTTTTGTTCTGTTTAGGCCTTCAACGGATTGGATGAAGCCATCCACATTAGGGAGGACGATCTTCTCTACTCAATCTACTAATTTTAATGCTAATCCTATCCAAAAACATCCTCACAAAACATCCAGAATAATATTTGATGAAACATCAGGGTACCCCATGGTCCAGTCAAATTAGCACATAAAATTAACTATAATGTAGTAATTTATAAATCTCTGTGTGCATACATATATGTGCATGTATACATATGTGCATATATGCATATATATAAGCAGGTACTAGATATACTATTATAGACTCCTAAAAGAGAAAATGTGCATATGATTCTCAAAGTAATTTTTTATTCTATTAAATAATTGACCATGCTATCTTTTCTACTGCAAGCTGCCTGGTGCCTTTAAAATGTGATCCAAGTTTTAAAATGCAAGCTTATATACCAGGTATGTTTCTTTTCCATATAGCAAATAACACCCATGTTTTTATGTTAAATATAATTAATTGATAGCTGGAAATATAAAAAATGAATTTATATTAAAATATTGATATTTACCTGATTTTTAAAAATTATTAGTTTGTTTTGCAGAGAAATGTGTATTTAAAAGTAGATAGGAAAATTATTGGTACATTTATTCAGCGCTGTTATTTAATTCATGTTTGAGAATGTTCTTTCAAAAATTCCTAAATTATTTTCAGAAGCAACAATAAGTAATCTGCCCAGTGCTACTACAAACAATTTTTCAAAACACAAAACCATTTCAAGAAAAGTCTAGAATTATGTTCTATTAATGCAAACACATTGCAAATGTCAGGGATTTAAATGGAAATCAAAAGTGCACATTGTTAACACATTAAGATGCAGAAAGCGAGTTGTGATTATTTCTCTTAATACTTAATAATGTGTTTCTTGATGTTATGTAAAACTTGATTCATTTTATTTTTTACTTTTGTTTATATTTTTAGTTGAAAATAATTGTATATATGGATTATAATATAATGTTTTGATGTATTTATATGGTATGAAATGATTATATCAAGCAAATAAACATCACATAATTATCTTTTTTGCGATGAGAATATTTAAAATCTACACCTACTGCAATTTTGAAATATAAAATTCATTAATATTAAATATGACAATCTTGTTTTGTTAAAATCGTGAAAACTAAATCTTGTCTAATTTGAACTTAGTATACTTTGGTCAATTTATCCCCGTGCTCTCCTCCACCTCCTGGCCTCTGGGGAGGGTGTTGTGTATCTCTAACATGTTTTATTTATGCATTCATCCCTTGATGGACACTTAGGTTGATTCCAGATCTTGGCTATTACAAATAGTGATGCAATAAACAAGAGTGCAGATTATCTTTTCAGTATACTGATTTCAGTTCTTTTGGACATATACCCACAAGTGGAATTGCTGGATCATATGTCAATTCTATTATTAGTCTGTTGAGGAACCCTCATGCTATTCTTCATAATGGTTGTACTAATTTACATTTTCACTAGCAGTGTACCGGAGCCCTTTTGCTTTACATTCTTGCCAAAACTTATCTTCCGTCTTTTTTATAGCAGCCATTCAAACATGTGTGAGATGGTATCTCATTGGGTTTTTAATTTGCATTTTACTGACGATTAGTGATATTGAGCATTTTTAAAATAAACCTGTTGGTCATTTTTCTTTTGAGAAGTGTCTGTTGAAATCCTTTGTGCATTTTTTTTCTTGCTATCAAGTTGAGTTCCTTATATGTTTTGGAAGTTAACCCTTTATGAGATACATGGTTGGCAAATATTTATTTTACCACTCTGTGTGTTTTAATCACTCTAACGATTGTTTTCTTTTCTATACAGAAGCTTCTTAGTTTGATGCAATCCTATTTGTCTATTTTTGTTTTTGTTACATGTGATTTTGGGATCATATAAAAAAAATCATTGCCGAGACCAATGTTGTGGAGCTTTTTTCTTATGTTTTCTTCTAGTAGTTTTATATCTTAGGTCTTACATTTAATTCTGTATTCCATTTTAAATTGGTTTTAGCAAATGGTGTGAGATAAAAGTCCAATTTCTTCTGCATGTGGATATCTAAATGTACCTACATCATTTATTGAAGAGACTGCCTTTTATCTATTGTATGTTTTTGGTATCTTTATTAAAAATCAGTTGTCTGTACATGCATGGCTTTATTTCTGAGTTCTCTATCTCACTGATGTATCTGTTTTTATGCCAGTACGAATGCTGTTCTGATTACTATAATCTTGTACTATATTTTGATATCAGGTATTGTGATGCCTCCAGCTTTTTTCATTTTGCTCAAGATTATGTAGACTATTTGAGGGAGTTTGTGGCTCCAGACAAACTGTAGATTGTTTTTTCTGTTGCTGTAAAAAATGACATTAAGATTTTGACAGGAAATACACTGAATTTTTAGATAATTTTCAGAAGTATGGACTTTTAAACATTAGTTCTTTCAATCCATGAACATGAGACATTGTTCCATTTATTTGAGCCCTCTTTAACTCCTTTCATCAGTGTTTTATAGTTTTCAGATCTTTCTTCTCCTTGATTAAATTTACTTCTGGGTATTTTGTCGTTTTTGTCTATTGTAAATGGGATATTTTAAAATTTAGTTTTCGGCTAGTTCATTGTCAGTGCACAGATATTCTACCAATTCTTCTATGTTAATTTTTTATCCTGGAACTTTACTGAATTCATTTATTGGTTCTAGCTGTTTTCTGTGGAATCTTTAGTTATTTATATATAAGATCATGTCATCGGCAGAGACAATTTTACTTCTTCCTTTCTGATTAGAATTCATTTTTATTTCTTTCTCTTGCCTTAATGCTCTGTCTGGGACGTCCAGCACAATGTTTGAAAAGAGGTGGCAAGAATAGAAATCCTTGTCTTGCTCCCGATCTTAGAGAAAAAGCTTTCAGAACTTTTATTTTTTTTTCCATTCAGTATGTTAAATGTGGGCTTTTCAGATATGGCATTTATTGTGTTGAAGTACATTATTTCTACACATAATTTGTTTAAAGATTTTATCATAAAAGGATATTACATTTTGTAGAATGATTTTTTCTGCATCTACTGTAATGATCTTTTTTTGTCCTTTGTTTTGTTAATGTGGTGTATCACATTTATTAACTTGCATGTCTTGAACTATCCTTGCTCATCACACTTGGTGATGGTAAACGATCATATTGATGTACTGCTGGATTTCTTTTGCTAGTATTTTGTGAGTATTTTAAACATTTGTGTTCACTAGGAAAATTGGCCTGCAATTTCTATGTAGTCACCTTATCTGGCTTTGTTAGTAGAGTAATGTTGGCCTAGTTAAATGAGTTTGGAAGTGTTCCTTCCACTTTAACTTTTTTGGTCGTGTTTGAGAAGAATTAGCATTAATTCTTTAAATGTTTGGTAAAATTCAGCTGTGATGCCATCAGGTTCCAGGCTCTTCTTTGATTCAAGAACGATTGATTTTTTTGTTACTGATTCAATGTCCTTACTTATTAGCCTCTTCAGATTTTCTCTTTATGAGTCAGTCTTGGTAGGTTGTATGTGTCTAGGAATCTCTTTCTTTCTTTAAGGCTATCTAATATAATAGCATATTGTTAATCACTCTCTTATAAAGCTCTTGATTTTTGTGCTATCCACTGTAATGCCATCTCTTCCATTTCTGATTTTATTTGAGGCTTCTCTCTTTTTTCTTAGTTAGTCTAGCTAAGGTTTTGTGAATTTTGTTTTATCTTTTCAATTAAAAAACCTGTTTTATTGAGTTTCAAATTTTTTTAAACTATATTTCATTTATTTCTGCTGTTATTTATTTCCTTCTTTCTGTTGACTTTGGACTTAGTTTGTTCTTTTTCTATTTTTTTGAGTTGTTACATTAGGTTTTTTATTTTAGATCTTTCTTCTTCTTTGATACAGACGTTTATTGCTATAAATTTCTCTCCTGGAACTGTTTTGCTGCATCCCATATGTTTGAGATGTGTGTTTTCATTTTCATTTAAGATATATTTTTTAAATTTCTCTTTTGATTTATTTTCTGACTCATTGGTTTTCAGGAACATGTTGATTAATTTCCATGGTTTTGTGAATTTTCCAAGATTTCTATTGTTATTGATTGCTACTTACATATTTTGTGATTAGAAAAGATAATTGATATCATTTTAATTCTCATAAATTTGTAAAGACTTGTTTTTTGGCTAAATTACCTATCCTGAATAACATTCCATGTGTACTTGAGAAGAATGTGTATTCTGTATTTGTTAGATGGGATGTTCTGTGTATGTCTGTTAGATCCTATTGGTCTAAAGTGTAGCTGAAGTCCAGTGTTTCTTTGTTGATTTTTTTCTGGATGCTCTAGTCATTGCTGAAAGTGGGGTATTGAAGTCCCCTACTATTATTGTATTGCCACCTATATTTCTCTACAGATCATTTAATATTTGCTTTATATATTTAGGTACTCTGATGTTGCCTGCATATGTAATTGCAATCGCTATATTTTCCTGATAAAGAGAAATTGTTCACCTTAAAACTATGATCTTAAAATACTATAGATTGAGGACAAAAAAGTTCTCTGTTTTCTAAGTATTATGATCAGTCTTCCTTCGCCTCCGTAGAGCCATGTCTTAGCTTTCTCCACCTTGGTCTCTACCCAGAAGGCAGACATTTGTTAAGGTATAAACTAGATGGTCTTACCCTCTGGCTTCTGATTTGGCCAATGAAATGCATTACCAGAATATTGTGAAGCAGGAAGAATGTCAGGCTATTCTCCCCACTTCAGCTCCCATTTCACCAGCCTATAGGCTTGTAGTGGATGTAATGCTCCACCCAAGATCAGAGATAGTTTTCTTCTATAGCTAGGTTCTTACTGTGTTTTGTAAATTGCTCTATCTGATCTTGATCTTTCTGGTCTAGGTTATTAAGTTTGATCTACTGTTGGTAACCTTATTGGGGTGACTGTAAAACCATTATTCCTTTTTAAGAAAACCAAACATACTTTTGTAAATAGATTTTCCTCAACCCCTTTTTTAATTACATATGTTAATGCATTGTAAATTTCTGCCATTGATTGATACATAAATAATTATTGAATTAGTTTTGTGATGACGTTAGAATGACATAGAATATTATTGAAGATAAGATTAAGGAAGGGATATATATATATATACACACACACACATACTATTTCTGAAAAGACAAATATTAGCATATTTGAAGGGAAATTAAGTAATAGCCATTCAAAATAAAATTTGCATACCATAAAATACAAAAAAGTTTTATTTCCAATAAAAGTATGTGTCAAATATGCAATATTTTCAAGTTTTTATTTAATCATTTTTATAATTGTAAAAAATCAGAAAGCAATCTCAATGTCAGTGAGCAATAAATTGGCTAAATATAATATTATAGTAGTCCTTACTAATCTGCAGGAGATACAGTCCATGATGCCCAGTAGATGACTGAACCTGCAGATAGTCCCAAACCCTAAATATATTATGTGTTTTTTCTAAATACACATACGTATGATAAAGTTTAATTTATAAATTAGACACAATAAGAGATTAACAACACTAGTAAAGTAGAACAATTATAATAATACACTATAATAAAAGTTATGTGGATGTGATCTTTCTCAAAATACCTTATTATGCTATAATCATTCTTATTTTATAATAATGTGAGATGATAAAATGCCTACATGATGAGATAAAGTGAGGTGAATTATGTAGGCATTGTGAGATAACATTAGGCTACTATTCACCTCTGACAATATGTCAGAAGGAGGATCATCTGCCTCAGGAGACCCTGGATCTTTGATCCATGATGTTGACAATGGTTGAATGTCCGGAGTAGAGGATGTTAATGACTGATGGACAGAGAACATATACTGTGAGGATACGGTAGACAAAGGGGTGATTTACATCCCAGGTGGGATGGAACACGACGGTGTAAGATTTCATCTCACTACTCAGAATGGCACACAATTGAAAACATACAAATTCTTCATTCCTGTAATTGTCAATTTAATATTTTCAGACTGTGGTTGACCGTGGGTAACTAAAACTGCAGAAAGGCAACTACAGTATATCTATGAATTTAATCATCATGGACGTCTAAAATAAATGGTGAATTTCTCTATTTACTTATGGAAAACGATTTACAAGACTATCATCCTTTATTTTTTAAGAAAGCAAAATGCATTATTTTTATATAAAATAGTAGAGTACCATTTTGTTTTACTCATATATCCATGTAATAACATATATTAAATGCCACTTATTTCCCACATTTTATATATTTTTCTGAAGCACAATAAATACAAAAAGTTATCCTGTTTATTTTGAAAGAAAGATATGTTTTATAAGAAGTTTATAAAAACAAAGGAGAAAGCTATAGAAATATTTCATCTATGTAAAATTTTAAACATGTATTAAATGTATTTTCTGTTAAACACTAAGTAATAAACACCTTCTTTTGCTATTGATGCTGTTCAATAAAGGTACTTGGGAGATAAACTCTGTGTCTTTCTATAGATTGAAAATGTCTGTATTTTAACCTTTTAATAAATATCATTTTATTGAATATAAGATTCTCATTTTGAAATATTTTTCCCTCAGGATTTTGAAAGCTTTGCTTTAAGGTGTTTTCTCACTTACACTTAATATTAAGATATATGGAACATATTTAATTCTTATTAATTTCTAGATAATCTACATTTCTTTCCTTAGAATGTATTTGTCTTTTTCTTTTCTTTGATTTTTTAAAAACGTTTTGATGAGCAATATCAGGTAATACTTAATATAATTTTTATAAAGATGTGTTTGATTTGAGGTCTTTTACTTTTCCTGCTATTCCACAGTTAGTACAGCTCTTCCAAGCTAAAAAAAAATTCCCTAATATTTATACATTTCTGTAAATTTTTCTTCTATTATTTCATTGACGTTTTTCTTGCTCCTGTATTCACTCTGCTCCCACTATAAAAATCTTATTCAATATAAATTAAATATGGTTATATTTCCCCAAAGAGACACAGCACCTTGTGTCTGGACTTTAGAGAAAGACAAAATCTGTTTAATGTCTGTTGTTAGGGAGAAGAGACTTACTTTCATCTTGAAAGATTAAGGAAGCTGAAGGAATGGGCATTTCTTTCTTATGAAACAAAACAATATGGAACTTGAAGGCAGGAATAAATTTAAAGGATAATACAGGCAAAGGCCTAGGTGTGATTTAACATAAAGCATTGTGTCAAGGTAATATAATATATTCTGAGTATTTATAAATAAAATTATTATGTACAAATTGGCATTGCAAACTCTAACAACATATGGTAGCAAAAGATTTGTTGTTAGTTACGTTTGGCTAGAAAAATTCCTGGTTATGAAGAAACAAGTAGTATGGTAACTAATTATGAAAATTACCCTTTTAGGATAAGAGTGTCAAATTTAAAATGTATTGCTTTAAAATTAGCCTGAGAATAAAATGGTATAACTGAACATGGGAAACACAGAAAAATTGTTCTTAATAATTTGGGCCTAAAAACCCTTAAGAAACTCGGCAAATATAAATGCTTTCTTCCTCTGAAATGTGTGCAAATTTAAGTGCAAAATTTGGAATTCTATTTCAGTAGGACATGCACCTCACTTTCCCAAATCACCCGAATATATTATCACTAGAATAAGAGTGCAATTGAAGAATATATAAAACAAGAATATTAGAAGAAGGACATAAGTTCTTGGTAAACAATTGGTTGTACACTCAAATATGTAAGAACTAAATGGTAGCATGGTAAGATCTAGAGAGTTCTCTGTCCCACCTGTCTATATATTTGTTCTATCAGGGATTGCTGCAAAAACAAAACAAAATAAGGATGACAAGCTCTTCATCATCTTTACAAAAATGAGTTCTAGTGTCTAAGCTATATGCTGGAGAAATGTTCTGTTTTCCATTATCTATGACATAAACAGGTACTTTTGCCTCTGTTTAAAACTGATCATTGATCGCATATATTTCAAAACTTATTGGTGATGGCAGAAAACTGAAAAGCCATAATCTCAAATATATGCATTATTTATAATTTGATATGATATAGAATATTGAATTATCTTTTTATTTAGACTGATACATCTTGGAAAAATTACCCGAATTGCCTTCATTTATTTATGTATTTCTTTAAAAGTACTCAATGTCAGGACCATGCTGAAGATACAGCAGGGATTAAAATGGATTTAATCTTTGCCACTTTCAGCCCAGGAAACAAACAAAAACAAATACCTCTGCCAGAAACAACCCTGAGGATCGTTCACTTATGCCAGGAATTGTTGAGCATACAGCTGTGAGAAAGAAAGTTAACAGCACTTATACTTGAGTTGCTGACAATCCTGTAGTAAAAAGCAGATTGTATTCTCAAATTAGGTTTCTTGAAAGATTCTGTAGTCAGAAAACATGTGTGAAGATTTAACAACATGTAAAAAACAGAACAATAAAAGATAGTCTATTATAGATAATAGACTAATAAAAGTAAAATAAAAAGACTAATAAAAGTAAAATAAAAGATAGTCTATTATAGAAACTTTCAAAGTAAGACCTTGGGATGAGTTGTCCAGAAAATCACTGCTGGTTTTGGTGGAGGGGTATGAGTATTAGTGTGTGTAAGTCTGTGAGTGGTCACATGCAATGCCACTTTAGGTACCCAGTTAACACATTTCTGCAATGAATCGCACAGGAAAACACTCTGTCTACTTCTGCACATTGCCCAGGAGCACTCTAAGAGCTCTAAGATTGGCTCTTTAGTGAATGCCAAACATAAAACAATTCTGATGAACATTAGTGTTATCTTGATGAGCACTCATAGCCGATCTCCCTTAAAGTGGCTTCTTGAACAGAGGAAGCACAGGAAAGATGCTTATGGCCATTACAATATAACGATGGTTATATATCTGAAACATCAGCTACACATAATGGTGCATTAGTGTAGATACAGGTTTCCAGTCTGAAATCTTTCAGAAGTAAGAGTGGGCAATATTGCAGCAGGTAGTGGAGGTGGTTCAGGTGTAGGTGGGGCATGAATGGTTAGTGTGATTTCATTTACGAACACAGCTGGAAGGATCTGCAATCATTTAGTTCATGTGTACATATATCATCAATGTCTTCACAAATAAAAGCCTCAAATTTACATTTTCTGAAACAGATTGCATACCTTCCCCTTTAAGATCAACACACATTGCAAACCTACTCTGCAATAATTAATTCTTAACAGAAAGCATATTAAAAATAATTGTATAGATAGGTCAAGAAATGAGGTTGGTGTTTGAAATGAGTTACTTAGAATACAAGATGAACAAAATTGAGATTAGATCTAATAAACTAGAAAATAAATCCCTGAGTTTTTTTTACTAATAACATTTCAATTTCCACCCTACACTAACACTGGCTTCCTATGAAGTCAATCATTAAAAGATCACTTTGCAGTTGACCAGAATGAATTTCAACCTCCCACAGCTACCCATTACAAAACAGTAGTCTTACAGTAAAGAGAGGAGATACTTTTATGGGGTAAAATAACCATAAAATGAATGAAACTCTTTCAGGGATATTAGATATTTACAAAGTAGTTCTTTATAAAAATGTTCCATTAGGAATAAAGATCAAATGTTTTGGATATAAAATAATGATGGGGTTTAATATTAAAGGTGTCAGCTATGAAGACCACATGGTTATTGTGAGAAATAACATTTAACCTTTCTCTTGTGGCTGACGGAGGCCAATGCAGTATTTTATTATCAACAATGGCAGTTGATTTATTACCACTGTTTCTACTCCAGTAAAGCCACATTAGGCTGGGCTTGATGTATCATTTGTTATCTTCAACCCCCCTGCACACTTTCTGCATGCATAATCTCTTTGTTCTAGCAAGTTTTAAACAGAGAAGAGTAAATATTTAAGTAATTCTTCCAAATTCATTAGAAACTGTAGAGGTAAAATCCACTAGCTAAATAGATTATGCCAGACAATGTCTGACGTAATCATAAAGTTCTGGCTTCAAGAAGAATGATGGTTATACATCTGAAACATCAGCTATGCATAATGGTGCATTAGTGTAGACAGAGCAGTGACAGAGAATAAATCAAAGGCACACTTTCAGATGGGAATAAAATTTTGTGGAATAAATTCAGGTCAGATAGCTTTTAGCAGTTTCTGTTTTCAGAACTTACTACCTAAAAAATCAGTCAAATTGTCTAGAATTGCTTGGCAGATGCACTGAGAATAATTTCCCTATCTTTCAACTAGCCTGATGATTTGACATTAATGCAGAAGCAAATTTAGGTATATCAAAATAGTTCTATCTGAAATTTTATCTTTTATGTATACATCCCTGATGAATTTTAGAATCTTTGGAAATATAATTTTTGCTGTAGTAAAATATGGTTAATGATCATCATTACAAATCTAGAATTAACTTGTTTCCATATGTTTTTTAGCCAATGATCATAAATATTAACTGAACTTATGAAGTGTTAAAAAAAGATGCTTTTTGTGTGATGTTTTATTCTGTGAGAAGGGCTCTGAATTATCTTAACTCCTAGCCTCTCTCTATCTTTTTACTCAATCTGCTAACAGGAGATGGAGTACTTTGTATGACTGGTAAATGTGGAAGTAGTTAAGTAGGCATGTTTTGCTCATCTATGCCTTTCCTTCTCTTTATAGTAAGCAAATCTGAAGAGATACGTCATTCTCTGCTGTTCCTTAAGGAGAGCAGGTCTACTGGTTCAATAACTATTAATTTTGATATTTGCTATTAAGAATCCCATTATTGGTTCTCATATGTAATATATAATATATGCCTTCAAATCTATTATTTATAAATTATAATCGAAAATTTTTGTTTTCCATCTACCACTTTTTATTTCTCAAAACTCAGTTGAAAAATTTAGAGGAGTGCTATTTGTTGAGTTTTCCGTAACTGCAACATGCCCTATAGATGAAAAAAAAAATAGGTTTCATATTTTCCCATCTCTATTTTAAGCACCTCCTTCCTCTGGGTTTCTATATTATGGCCTATCTGCTATCATGTAAATCCAAAGCTTGAATAAATTTTATGCATTAAGAAAATAATAAGCATATATTTCCTAAAGTGCATTTATCATGAACAAGCATCTGTTAACCCCTAAAATATGTGTGCCAAACATTCTAAATGGTCTTGCATAAATAACAATGTTTGGGATGAGAAATAAACACAAAGATGAATGAATAGAGGAATCAATATAGGAGAAAACATGGAGGTGATATTAATTCAGTCAACAAATATATATAAATAAATAAACATGATGAGGGGTAAGTTTATATAAATA
This sequence comes from Homo sapiens, assembly GCF_000001405.40. Classification (NCBI taxonomy): domain Eukaryota; kingdom Metazoa; phylum Chordata; class Mammalia; order Primates; family Hominidae; genus Homo; species Homo sapiens. The sequence continues at coordinate 137,017,488 of NC_000004.12, forward strand.
AACCAACATGACAAGGAGTAAGAAATATATATTTGAATTGAATGTAACTGGAACTAAATCCTGTCTGTGCTACATATCATATCCCACCTTTGAAAACCAATTTTCTTGAGTCTAAGTTATACCAATAGTAAAATTGTGCAAATAACTTCTAAGTCATATGCAAGTTAAGAGGTTTTCCTTAATAATGTATGTAAAATAATAACATATCAAGAACTCAGTATGCATTATTTTCTCTACTTCTCTCCAAAGTTTCTTAAAGTCTTTTGGAAAAGACTGACATACAAAGAGATGATGCATCTAGAGAGATATAGAATATGAATTGGAGAAAGAAAAAAGCTATTTACTATTGAGTAAAAAGTAAAATATGATTGGAAGTATAAGGTGATTATATGCAGTTGCCAAGAAAGTCTTTGTTGGATCTGAATTAACTGGTAAAAAACTTGCTGAAGGATAACAATATTTTATCTGAATTTTATACTCTGTGTGTATGTGTATGTGTGTGTATGTTTGTGCATGTAGAAAAATGTAGACTAGCGAACAGAGCATATTGTTTTACAGTATGGGATCACAGAATAATGTTGGCAAAAAATTGGATATACTAAACAAGACTGAAGCTATGTGAGTTACATATCTGTGGGAGTAACTGAAGTGATAGTTAGCAATAGGCCACAAGTTTAACTAATACAGAAACTTTCTACTCACATTTAAAACTTAAACTTCCTCCAGCAAACATTTAGATGATTGTTTATTTATATCATGAACAAATCTAATGTAATATGGTTGAATTAACAAAACAAAACAGCAAAACACTAGTAATAAAAATAACTACGCATTTTAACAAATGTAACTAATATGGCTTAGCTAAGTAAGTCTGCTAAACAGCATTAATAAATCTGAAGATATCTTCAGTTTTGGTATAAATTTACATGACTACATACAGAGACAGTAATTATATCATTCAAGTTTTCTCATTCAAATAATACATTTTAGAATCTTATTTAAATATATGAGTAACTGAATACACAAAAACACATACACACATTTGCATGTATATATATGACTAATTCATTATTAAAAATGATTGTCCTTAATAAATGTCAATTTAAAATATGGTAAGAAATAGGAGCATTAATAGCTTCAAATATGGCAAATTTAGAGAGTCTACTCTTGAAACTAAATCTGCCTATTTAAATGTAGCATATGCAAGAGCAAAGAAAAATGACACAAAAACAAAGAGATTCCAGAAATGCAAAATAATTTATTAACTGGGACCACCAATTGGTATATTTAGGCTGTCTTTCACAGGATTAATTTTACTGTCCCAACATGGTCCTGGAAAATCTTTGACATGCCAGCTTTCAGGAGCCTGGGGAGTTGAGTTTTGATGCTCATCAATCAAAATTAGGGATTTAGTCACATTTGCTTTACTTAGGTGAGAGCAATGGGGAAAAAAATAAGCTACCCTGGTTCAATCATAAGGTGGTCAAAGACATGAATACGAAGAGAGGACCAGACCATAATCATAGCTTATGGCATGGTTTGTGTCAATGTTTATTTTATGGTAGAAGTCCTTGGATTATAGAGGGGGCTCTATAGTCACAGTCACAGAAGGAACTTTTCTCACAATAACCTAGGGTTTGCACAATTTTTTGATGTTGTGCTTTTATTCCACATGGTAATTTGTGCCCTGTGTATTCTCACAGGCATACTGGATGCACTAGTTAGGGTTCTCCAGAGAAACAGAACCATAGGAGATATAACAGAAGAAACGATATGTCTTCTATAGTATAAATATACATTTGTGTGTCGGAGAGAGAGAGAGAGAGAAAGAGAGAGAGAGAGAGATAAAGAGATAATATGTATCATAAATATTTCCTCTGTAAGAAATTGGCCCATACATTATGGAAGCTGAGAAGTGCCATAATCTGTCAGCAAGCTGGAACCCAGGATAGCCAAAAGTGTATTCCTATTGGTCTCACTGTATTGTACTTTCATTCCAATGGTGTCAATCTGAAGGCCTAAGAACCAAGAAGACCAATAGTTTTAAGTTCCAGTTCAAGGGCAAGAGAAGACCTATTTCCCAGCTCTATCAGTCAGGCAGAGAGTAAAATCTCCTTTCCTTTACCTTTTGGTTCTATTCAGGCCCTCAACAGATAGGAGGATGCCTACTCACATTGGAGAAAGCCACTTCTTTACTTAGCCTATCAATTTAGATGCTAATAAAATCCAGAAACACTCAGAAAGAATGTTTAACCAAGTATCTGGGCACCCTGAGACACAGTCAAATTAACACATAAAATTAGCCATCACACTTGGCTATTTTATTTAATAATAATGAGGGAGATGTCTGCTTCTGATCAAGATGGTTTAACAGACACTGAACTTATGTTTTCTACCTGAACATCAGAAAAATGAACATATAAAACAATATTCTTCAAGATGCTGGACATCAGACAATAAGGAACAATGATTCCTGAGAAATGAAAAACAAATAAGGCAATCTCCACAAATTAACCCCGTTTGTTCTCTTGAGAGAATTTTGAATCTGTCCCACAGGGAAGGCAAATGAGGTATGGTTTGGCTCTGTGTCCCCACCCAAATCTCATTCTTGAATTGTAATCCCCATGTGTCGAGGAAGGGACCTGGTGGGAGGTGATTGGATAATAAGTGTAGTTTCCCCCATACTGTTCAAATGATAGTGAAGGAATTCTCACAGGATCTGATAGTTTTAAAAGTGGCAGTTTCCCATGCACTCTATCTCTCCTGATGCCTTGTGAAGAAGGTGCTTGCTTCTCCTTCTGCCATGACTGTAAATTTCCTGAGACCTCCCCAGCCATGTGGAACTGTGAGTGAATTAAACTTCTTTTATTTATAAATTACACAATCTTGGATAGTATCTTTATAGCAGTGTGAAAATTGACCAGTACACCAGGGTAAAGCCTGCCAAACTTCCTGAGTTGAGGTGGAGCTGAGAGTCTACAGAGAACAAGGAAACTAGAGATTTCAGGACAAATAATTATACAGTAGATATTTTCAAGAGAGAGAACTACAAAGTTCTGTAGAAGTTGCCTTAGAGTATTCAGCTGTCCATGCTCACAAACAAACCAACTTCAGTCAAAAGAAATAATACCAGAAAAAGTTTACAGTGCCTGGCATACATATACAGAACTGGTCATAGTTCCTGTGTTCTCACTAACCAAATTGAAAAATCCTCAAGACTCAAAGAGTAACGTGCATAGGCCTTCTTGCCTCAGTAGTGAGGAAATAACTAGTCCAAATCTGATCACTACTTTGGACCGCTCAACAAATCTTTGAAGACAGAAAAGGATCAAACTTAATTTCAATGTGCCCCCAGAAAATAGCTCTAGGATATTTTTGTAAATGCAAAATATCCAGCACGCAACAAGGTAAAATTCTTAATTCCTACCATTGAATGAAATACTACAAACCTCTCAAAAACAAGTAGAAAAAACACGCCCAAATAAGAAGAAATAGCAATTGATAGATTCCAAGAACAGATGAATATGCTAGAATTTGCAGACAAAGACACTAAGGGAGTTATTAGAACTAAATTATATATGTTCAAAGAGTTAAAGGAAGATGAAATATGTAATAAAGACCTAAATAAACTTTTAGGGAGAAAGTTATAATGTGTGTGTTAATAAATACACTGAATGAGATTAACAGATTGGACATTACAGAAGAAATGGTTAGTGAATTTGAAGAGCTAGCAATAAAACCTATTTAAAATAAAACACAGCCAGAAAGGAGAAATAAATAAATACATAACAGATCATCAGTGAAGTATAGTAGAACTTCAAATAGCTTAATATAGAAGTAAATGGAGTCTCTGAAAGAGAGGAAAGGGAAATAAAATAAAGAAATGTTGGCCACAAATTTTCATATTTTATTATATGTTTAAAATAAAAAATGCTAAACAAAATTCAAGCACACAAAACATGGAAACACACACAACACTATGTCATAATGAAATTGTTTAAATCCAGTGATTAAAAAAATCTTATAAGTGATCAGAAAAGGCATGTTGTGTAGTAAAGAAGAAAATAGATTTCCCATTGGAAACAAAAAAGTAAGAAGACAATGGAATAACATATTTGAAGTATAAGTATTAAAACAAAACAATGTCAACGTATAATTCTATACCCAGGGTAGACATAGTTACAAAGGATGTTGTTAGTATTTTAACCTTCAGTTAATCTGAAGCTTAACATTTTTTGGTTTAGTATCCTGGTGTTTGGTATTTCCTTTGTCCTATGCCCCAGACATGGGCTATCTCTTGCAGTTCTCCCAGCCCCAGCTGTATTCTATTCTGAATTTTTAGTCAAGGCTTGCAGGAATGGGGTTGAGTTCTCTAATATTACAACAAAGCTTCAGTCTTAGGCCAGCTTCGTACATGGATGTCTCAGTTGTATGGTCTTCACACATGTCCCTCTCCCTTCTCTAGGTATATATAATGCTGGACCTAGCACATATTCCTGGATCTTCCTCAGTGGAAGAACTCCTCTTGCCCCTCCCTGTATCCCCCTTCCTGTTTTATTCCTCACTTGTACTGAACTTTACCAGTGGCTTCAGCCTAGAGTTTCGATTCCCTTCCCCATGTAGCTTAAGACTTTTGTAACATCAGAGAGATAAAGAAAATGAGTCTGGGTGAATTTTTACAGTGACCACTGTTCCTCTCCCACTGCCAGCTCCACAGGTGAGACTTCTCATAATCCATTTTGATCTTCTCTGTGGACTCCTTTTGGATTTCCAGAAGGAAAAGCCTAAAAGAGAATGTGAACCTCTCCCTGTATCTCTAGCCGTTATGGGCTTCTCACTCTCACACCAGGTCACAGTCAGACTTCAGCAACTCATTAGTCTAGTTTATTCTTACTAGTTTACATCCGGGTCTGCAGCTTCCATTCTGTGCAGGCACTTGCCATCTTGTTTCTCCCTATTGGCCTGCTGTCACTCTTGATTTTGGGTTAGTCATGGTGCCAATCAAATGAACACATTTAAGTCATTCAGGAAAAGACAAGTCCCAAATGAATTTCTTGGTACTAATCAATGAGTTATTTCTCTTGTGGATTTTAATTACAATACAAAGTTTCCTACAATTTGTGTAAAAGTCAAATAAATTATTAATATTAATATCCTTCTAAATCTTGCTAAATTAAAGCAGAAAAAACTTTTTTTTTTTTTTAATGAGACAGAGTCTCGCTCTGTCGCCCAGGCTGGAGTGCAGTGGCGCGATCTCGGTTCACACTGCAAGCTCCGCCTCCCAGGTTCACGCCATTCTCCTGCCTCAGCCTCCCGAGTAGCTGGGACTACAGGCGCCCGCCACTACGCCCGGCTAATTTTTTGTATTTTTAGTAGAGACGGGGTTTCACCGTTTTAGCCGGGATGGTCTCGATCTCCTGACCTCGTGATCCGCCCGCCTCGGCCTCCCAAAGTGCTGGGATTACAGGCGTGAGCCACCGCGCCCGGCCTGTATTTTTTTAATACAGACAGAGTTTCACCGTGTTAGCCAGGATGGTCTGGATCTCCTGACCTCGTGATCCACCCACCTCGGCCTCCCAAAGTTCAGAATAAAAATTTTCTTAAGCTCAACACCGTTACTGGTATTTTACACAATTTATTTCATTTATTTATAAAAAAAAATCCTATGAATTAGATGTTCCGATGTTTTACATTCCAAAAAGAAAAAAAAAGACTGAATCTAAAAGACTTCTAAGAAGCTTCCCCCAAATTGGTTACTGAGCGAGGAGCAAGAATAAAATTCAAACTTATTTCCTAATTCAATGTCCATGCTTTATCAAAACAAAACGGAGCTTGTGGAAACTATTCAACGAATATCTGATGTTTAATTAAAACACTATATCTGACTACTACTCTCTAACTTTTTAAATTTTGTACTCATTATTAGAAACAGCTGCATTCAGGATAAGTGCTAATGATTTCAGTTTCAAGCCTAAAAAATTACTTATATGTGGTATGAATACACAAATATAATAGGGTTATAGAAATTTACTTAGGAACAATGCATAGGTACAATGTCACTTATTGAGCTGTGCAAATACTCTATTTAGTAATACAAGTGTGAAAGAATTATGCATTTATTAAAAATGTATTTTACAACAAAAATAATGAAATTGTTGCAAAATGGCATTTTAATTTCAAATGCATGTTTGTAAAGTCCTCTTGAATTAAAAATTACTGAGAATTGGACACATTCTCAAACTAAAGGAATTATACAATTGTCGTTCTGTAAATTGGAAAAGTGGGATGATATAGTATTTTCTTGCTGACTTTATAAGCTGAAATTGAGCTAGGAATTAAATGCACCCTGACAAACAGGTAAGTAATCTATTTTCTGAAGTTAATATTCTTACCTTGAAATTAAATTAGTGACTGAAATAGCCATTTTTTCAAATGTCAATAAATGGTGAATTAAATATACCTATATTTACAGCTTTTAAGATTGTTTTATTTTTATGATTGAAACAAATGTAATTCATTTCATACAACACTAGTTAAAATATTTAAATATTTTTATTGTAATTTACTTTATAACTTTTACGATGCACTTCATGAACACTACTTAATTTCAGAGATAAAAAATGCATAATAGATAATTATCTTTATGAAAATCTATGATCTCATACCATATATACCAATTTTTTTTCTGCTTTAAACCTAATACTTTATTTTTGAAAGTAAGTTATCTAATTATCACTTATGATTTTAAAAATGAAATTACCTACTGTTAAAACATTTTCACTTTTTGCATAGATTGAATTGGCTTTTCATGAAATGATGATGTTAGTCAATTCAATCAGAAATAAATTTGAACATTAATTATGGTGTATCATATAGATTGTTAGGATACATTATTAATTGCTTACTTATAAATAGTAGAATCGAGAGTCCTGAGTTGAAAGTTAGTAATTTCTCTTTACCAGATAAGTTTCACTCATACTAACTGACATGAAACTCATATTTCACTCTCTGTTCGGGAACTAAAAATGAGAATACAGATTAATACTCATTTTCCTATATTTAATCCCATGCAGTGTTTGCAATATAAATACTATCCAATGCACCAAACAAGTTTTTTTTTCCTATGCAAAGCTATTTGATCTCATTTCTTCAGTAGAATTTCTAATTAAGGAATAAGAATGGTTACAGAGGTAGACGTTAAATACAAAGCATTGGATTTCCTCTAATTCACACTTTATTTATACGTAGTGTTGGTTTATAAAAGAGTGTTCTAGTTTTTTATAATTTAATTGGTAGTTTTCACCTTAGCACTTTCTAAATACATTTAGTAATGAATAACCCACTTGACAACTTGGAGTCTGAATGCTTCACTACAGAAGATGGCCATTATACTGTTCACTTCAAGAGTCATTGTGAGGCTCAAGATACTGGGTGAAAATACCTCCTACTTTACCATGTTCTTTGTAAGTATAAGGCATGATTATTATTTATCTTTGTTATTCTCCTTCTATTGAAGACTTTGCTCAAGATACTTATTTGAAGACTTTAAAATTCTTATTAATTTTATTCCTTCATGCACTAAGGTTATATGTAAATCCCAATCTATGCCTCTTTAAATACAGGGATAATTTCATTTTCAAAAATAAAATTACAATTCCTTCTCTCTTCAGAACAGCTTTTACATGATTAGAACCACTTATAATATATAAAGCACATGCTGTCTCTTAAAAGTTCAAAGTGAATGTGCAAGTAAGCATCAGGCTTTTTTATTAACATAGGAATTGGCAAAAAAACATAATTGAGAGACTCCAAATCAAGAATCAGCGAAACTTATTTCTATATCTGTTTCTTCCATTATTGCATTGCATTATGTAGTTAAGTTTGTAATTTGGAGCTGGTTTCTTTACTGGTCCTGTAAATACTAGGGTATATCTTATAGTTCTTGAGAGGATATAATTATGAAATTATGTACGCATGTTAAAATAATATACAAAATACTGATACCAGATTATAAGGTAAAAATACTGTGTTATATGTTTCTATGGGAGACAATGGTAAATATGTGTTTCAGATTTGTATCTTGGTTTGAGATGAGGTTTGAGCACAACAATGTATTGGGTAGGTAATCCCTGAAGACAATAGGGAATGGGAGAGTAAAAGGAGAGGGAAGGCAGCTAATTAAAGGCACATATTCAAGTACGTTATCACCGTGGGAAACCTGACATTGATCATGCTGGGGAACTCTGAAAGCCAGAGTAGTATAAATGCCTCACTGAAATGCCACAGAGGGCAAAAGATCTGAGATATTTTTGCACTTTCCATTGTTGGCTGAGGATCCCTCCTGAGGGAACCTGAGACGGTTGACACTTTTGGCCTGCTGCACCCATGGGCAGAGCTTGTCTGAGAGCAGAAGCCCTTAGACAGAGATGCAGGTTCTGCATTTGGAGTTCTGGGCTACTTGCACAGATATAGGATGAGAAAGCGGATGAAGGTGAACACAATGTATTTTCTGTTGACGTGGCCCCAGATCAAATCTACTCATGCACCATACTAAATCCATTCCAACCTGTAACTCCTCCTTAAAGGTGGTGTGCAGTGACAATGTATGAAGAAAGGACTTAAAACAAGTATTAGTGTGCCAAGCTAAATCCATACTGCAGTGTATAATCCTGAGACAATAACTAATATTCATCATATTCCTCTTCTGCCAATTATCTTGATGCTCTTCATGCCTGACCAGAATATTTGCTGATTTGTGTTGCTTGCAATGTGAAGCAACTTAAATCTATATTCCTAAAGAGGTTGGAATCTCCTGCTACCACGCTATTGCTAGGTCTGATTGGCGCAATTGTCGAATCACAATTATGGATATAGAAACAATACATGGCTTCAAAGTGACTCTCTCAACTTCCAGGTATACTTTACTGCCTTCAACAGATTGTAACAACTATTTCTTCATGATTAATCAAGATTAATAAGACCTTTCTTGGCCTGCTGGTCTGCTGAAATGAAGAACACAAATGATCAGGTGGCAGCCTTAGCTTTTGTTTTAGTGGGATGTTTATTCCGTCCATTAATAGACTTGCTCCTCCATGAAAACCTGAACCTCTAGTCCAGTAGGCACATAACTATAGAAATTATCCAAATGGGTACTTCTTTGATTACCTGGTTCTGAGACACCTGCATTCTACCTAACAAACATAACTCAGTACCATATGATAGCCATAGGCTCAAAGAGTCTTGAAATTGTTCAGGGTTTAATCACCAAGCCAATGTCTTAGTTGTACTTTAGGAGTCCATGCCAATGTTCTATTAGTCTAGCAACTTCTAGGTGACATAGTACATGGTAAACCAGGACGAAACCAAGTTCATCCGTTTATTTATCATAAAGTAGATCCACAGTGGACCAATAGACTAGCCAGGGCGTGTTGTTCTCATGGCAAGAGAAAGACACAGAGAGAGTAGAATCACATGAGACCTCTTTTGGTCCATCACCACCACACTGTCATTACTGCCTCATGCCATAGGCCAAAGTCCAAAAGTCAAAAAGTGGAGAAATACAATATCTCAAAATTGAGGCAATGATAAGGATGTGGATTCAAGTTGGGGTGAAGAATTTGGGGATCTGCCTTCACTTTATCATACTGAGTGTTTCTTTCATCAATGTCTCATATATATTTTTATAGTCCAAGAGAGAAAAGATAATATATGATTACTCTCACATGTATTGTTTTACATATCTTTTCTCAATATTTTACCTTTGGTACATACAAAATTAAGGACTTCAACTCTATCAACAATACTTTATGAATAATTACAGTTAATCAGTATGCTGAATCCATTCATAATAGTTAAAGATATGGAATGAAAAATACAGAAATATGCAATTTGGTTTGAGATACATAATATGTTCATTTAAAAATTTAAAAACTTTTATAAGCAATACAAAATTAGCAAGGCTGGCTTAAAAGTATCTACATGTTAATAAGAAGTAATATGAAATAAAATCAGAATGGAGGACCATTAACTAGAAAGTTTGGTTTTAGAAAAATAAGATTTTAAAGAAATTTGTTTTTAAAGAATATTTGAAAAAAATAAGAATTAGAGAAAAGAAAAATAATTTGAATTTTTGGTATTGAGAAATAAATTAACTTTCAAACAGCAATGAGGGGAAAAGCATACCTAAATTGAAGCCCCAGGTCCAAGATAAAGTTTAGTTAAATGTGGTTCTACAAGACTCGGAAGAATAGAAACAGAAGCATTAGAGACAAATTAACCTATAGCCATAATAATGGCCTTCATTTTGTAAGTTATTTGAAAGTGTCTTTATTTTGGAGTTTCCGTGTGCTTTTTAAAAAGTGTTTAGTAGAGCTAAATGTTCCACAAGATTTAGTGAATAATCAAGGATTCATTTGAAGTCAGCAGCAGGTAGCATCTTCACAACTAGTAGCAAATGAACAAGGAGTATAAATACCCCATATTGAAGTGGAGATAAAGCAAATTTGGGAAAATGCATGTATAACTAAAAATAATAATAGAACATTAATAAAATTTGTAAGAACTCTGAATCAACCGAAGTAATCTTTTAGACTAAGATATTATTATAAGAAGTGACATAAAACAAAATAAAATGAGTCATTTTACCTATTATGAGTTCATTATTGCTCACAGTAAAATGACAAAAGCTCTTTGAATAATGACAAGATATTGAAGAAGATAATACAAAGGTATGTGAAAATTTCCTGAAAATTTATTTCAGTCACCAAATTTTTATCAACATAATATTACCCAAGTTAACAACTGACCTGGAAAAGTTAAGAATAATTTCAACAATTAATTTAACAAGAATTTTATCTGGATAATGGTTGAAGAATGGTTAAAAAATAAATATCCCCTTTACTCATTTAAGTAAAACCTAAGAAATATCTGGACTTTCTTTCAAAGAGGGATTTATTCACTCAATAAATCTACTCTCAGGATGTCCCAAAGTACAAGAATTTTCTGACACAAGGGACGATGTAGCAGAAAATTGTTGTTACAAAAAAATAAATTAAATTAATTGCATAGTTTTTAAGTGGATAAGAAGAGTTTTTTGGCAGTAGGTAGCATTTATTTTGTTATTATCACTTTTAAACTTTTATTTCAGGTTCAGCAGTACATATGCAAGTTTGTTATATAGATAAATTGCATGTCACTGGGGTTTGGTGTACAGATTATTTTGTCACCCAGGTAATAAGCATATTACTGCTTAGGTAGTTTTTTATTCTCTCCCTCGTCCCACACTCCAGCCTCACGTATACTCCAGTGTTTGCTGGTTCCTTCTTTATGTCCATGCGTTCTCAATGTTTAGTTCTCAAGTATAAGTGAGAACATGCAGTATTTGATTTTCTGTTTCTGTGTTAGTTTGCTTAGGATGATGACCTCCAGCTCCATCCATGTTGCTGCAAAGGACATGATCTCATTGTTTTTTTATGGCTGCACAGTATTTCATGATGTATATGTACCACATTTTGTATCCAGTCTACCGCTGATGGGCATTTAGGTTGATTCCATGTCTTTGCTATTGTGAATAACGATGTGGTGAATATACACATGAATGTGTCTTTATGGTAAAATGATTAATATTCCCAGTAATGGGATTGCTGAGTCAAATGGTAATTCTGTTTTAAGTTCTTTAAGAAGTTGCCCCACTGCTTTCCACAAAGGTTGAACTAATTTACATTCCCATCAGCAGTGTATAAGCCACCCCTTTTCTCTGCAACCTTGCCAGCATCTGTTATGTTTTTACTTTTTAGTAATAGCCATTCTAACTTGTGTGACATGGTATTTCATTGTGGTTTTGATTTGCATTTCTCTAATGATTAGTAATGTTGAGCATTTTTCATATGCTTGTTTATCACGTGTATCTCTTCTTTCGAAATGTGTCTGCTCATGTTCCTTGCCTACTTTTTTAATGGGGCTGTTTGTTTTATATTTGTTCATTTAAGTTCCTTATAGATTCTGGATATTAGACCTTTATGGGATGCACAGTTTGCAAATATTTCCTCCTATGCTGGTGGCCGTCTGTTTACTCTGTTGATAGTTTCTTTTGCTGTACAGAAGCTCTTCCATTTAATTAGGTCCCATTAATCCTTTTTGCATCTTTGTCCAGAAATATTTGTCAGGGCCTATGTCCAGAATGCTACAATACGGCATTTCCTAGGTTATCTTTCATGGTTTTTATAGTTTTAGGTTTTATAATTACATCTTTAATCAATCTTGAACTAGTTTTTGTATATGATGTAAGGCAGGGTTCCAGATTCAATCTTCTTCATATGGCTAGGCAGTTTTCCCAGCACCATTTATTGAACAGGAAGTCCTTTCCTCATTGCTTGTTTTTTGTTGACTTTGTTGAAGATCAGATGGTTATCAGATGGTCGTAAGTGTGCAGCATTATTTCTGAGCTGTCTATTCTGTTCCATTGATCTATGTGTATGTTTTTGTACTAGTAGCATGCTGTTTGGTTACTGTAGACTTGTAGTAGAGTTTAAAGTCAGGTAACATGATGCCTCCAGATTTTTTCTTGGCTATTCTGGCTCTTTTTTTGTTCCATGTGAATTTTTTTTTTTTTTTTTTTTTTTTTTTTGGTGGTGGTGGTTGGGCTGGAGAGCAGTGGCACAGTCATGGCCCACTGCAGCCTCAACCTCCCAGGCTCAAAGTGATCCTTCTGCCTCATCTTCCTGAGTAGCAGGGACTAGAGGTGCACACCATCATGCCTGAACAAATTTTTTGTTTTTTCATAGAGACAGGCTCTCACTATGTTACCCAGGCTGGTCTCGAACTCCTGAGCTCGAGTGATCCTCCCACCTCAGCCTTCCAAAATGTTGGGATTACAGGCATGAGCCACTGCTCCTAGCCCATATGAATTTTAAAATAGTTTTTCTAATTCTGTAAAGAATGTCATTGGTAGTTTTTAGAAATAGCATTGCATCTGTAAATTTCTTTGAACTGTATGGCCATTTAACGATATTGATTCTTCCTATCCATGTGCATGGAACGTTTTTCCATTTGTTTGTGTCATTTCTAAGGAATAAAAAAAGAGAGAAGATCCAAATAAATACAATCAAAAATGACAAAAGGGACATTACCACCCACTCCACAGAAATACAAGAGAAAAAAGAAAAGTTCAGAGACTACTATAAACACTTCTATACACACAAGCTAGAAAACCTAGAAGAAATGGATAAATTCCTGGAACATACAGCCAGAAAAAAATTGAATTCCTCAGCAGACCAATAATGAGCTCCAAAATTAAATCAGTAATAAAAAGCCTGCCAATCAAAAACAGCCTAGGACCAGAAAGATTCACAGCTGAATTCTACCAGATATATATAAAGGAGGGCCAGTATCATTCCTACTGAAACTCTTCCAAAAAATGGAAGACGAACTCCTCCCCAACTCATTCTATAAGACCAGCATTATCCTGACACCAAGACCTGGCAGAGTCACAAAAACAAAAAAAAAAACTTTAGACCAATATCTATCATGAACATCAATGCAGTAATCTTCAACAAAAAACTAGCAAATTGAAACCAGCAGCACATCAAAAAGCAAATCCACCACTATCAAGTCAGCTTCTATCCCTGAAATGCAAGGTTGGTTCAACATATGAAAATCAATAAACGTGGTTCATCACATAAACAGAACTAAAAACAAAATCCACACAATTATCTCAATAGACGCAGAAAAGGTTTTCAATAAAATTCAGCAGGGTTGCATGTTAAAAACTCTTAGCAAACAAGAAAATGAAAGAACATACTTCAAAATAATAAGAGTAATAATAACAATAATAATCTATGACCAACCTACAGCCAACATCATACTGATTGAAGCAAAATCTAGAAGCATTCCCCTTGAAAACTGGAACAAGACAAGGATGGCTTCTCTCACCACTGCTAGCTAGAGCACTCAGGCAAGAGAAAGAAATAAAAAACATCAAAATAAGAAGAGAATAAGTCAAACTATCCCTGTTTGCAGACAACATGATTCTATAACTAAAAAACTCCATAGTTTCTGTCCAGTAGTTTCTTGACTTGATGCACTACTTCAGCAAAATTTCAGGATATAAAATCAATGTACAAAAATCAGTACCATTCCTATACACCAACAACATCCAAGCTAAGAGTCAAATAAAAAATGCAGTCCCATTCACAATAGCTATAAAAGGAATCAAATACCTTGGAATACAGATAACAAAGGAGGTGAAAAATCTCCACAATGAGAACTACAAAACACTATTCAAAGACATGAGTCCTTATCATGAATACACAAAATAAATACTCTGTCTAGAATGACTGTAAAAAAATAAAGATCACCATAGCACATTATGGTAGTTTATCTTCAATGTGAAATCAGAAAATAGATAATTATTTCTTTGGGAATCCCCTTACAAGGTTTACAGGAGGATAAATTTATTATTTAGTTTCATGCTGTTATGTTGTTTTACAACACATAATTGTCAAATAGACACTATTGTTTTCAGCAGAAATCATCCATCATTGTCCCCCCAGCTCTAACCAATACATTTATTCTTTATAACTTAGATGCTAATTTACATTATTTCCCAATTTTCCCTGAATAATTATTCAAAATCATCATTGAAATCTAGAAGGATAATTAATTTTTAAACTATTTAAACAGCAACAGCAATTTAGAACAAGTTAGTTGCCACAGCAATTCTTGCCACTAGGGACTAGACTCCAAAATGACCCCATATGCCATCAAATAAATTGCATAAAGATATGAGCCCAAAATAAGTTGCTCTTGACCTTAAATGTGTGAACAATTTTGCATATCCATAATTGTCAATATGGCACCATTCAGGATACACTAGAATATCTGGGCAGAGAGCCAATCAGCCTTATGTTCAGTGATATGTGAGCCAGTTGGACATCTGACAGGTGCATTGTGGTGGTTAACTGCTGCCATCCACACTCTTTAACCCTCCAGTGACTCTGTTGTTCTGAGATGATTCCCAAGGGAATAGGCCATGACACAGATGAGTAAAGCATAACATGCATACCTTATAGTGATGAGGGCACCAGTAAGGCCCAAAGATAATAGCTAAAAAAGTACTAATAATCCAACTCTGTAGGCTCTCATTCATGCTCACTTATGGAAGAAGGCTATTCCCTAATTATCCCTTTAAATAGAGGTAACTAGAAGTTCATCCAAAGGTTTCCACTCTAGGAAATTAGAGAGTAGTACTGATGTGGATTTCATGCTGGATCAAGGTTACAGCATAGGCTCTATTGCTAAAAGTTTTCTTAAATTTTTAGGCCTTCTGAAGTCAAGTAAAGTACTATGCTATATATCTTCTTGAGCTATCACTCCTCCCAGAGATATTTTACTGGAAGATGCCCAAATGATTAGATTAGCCTTTTTCAAAAGTCAGTATGACTGTTAAAAGTCATATACTCACTGAGCCTCTAAAGGCAAAAATATTATTTAAAGTTCTTGAATAGACAATGACTTGAATATATTTTGTCTAATAGAAGGATTCATTTTCAACTCTAGATGCAAAAAAATTCCCTTTAAACAACATGTTAACAGATTAGCAATATAATCCATTGGAGAGATTGTCGGGAAATACATATTTATATACTGCTGAAGAAAATATTTCTATATACAACATCTATGAAAAGTAAATTTGGAATACCTGAAAAAAACAGCAACCCTTCTTTTAAGGCTATCCAGGCAAAATTCTAAAGTGGCATATGCAAAAGGCTATATGTTTTTGTCCAGTTTGTCCATAAAAGAGTAAATAATAAAAATGTTCATCTACAGGGGACTGGTTTAATAAACTATGGTATATCCGTGGAGTGAAGTACTATATATCACTAAAAAGAATGAGAAATATTTTTCTAGATGATTATAAGTTAATTTTTAAAAAATATTTTAAAGGTGCCGACTAATGTTATTACTATGCTACCTTTCGTTTCTGAAAGGGGGTAACATGCATATATAAAATGATGTAAATATATACACGTGTACATATATATATAAGAAATATTCTTATTTTATAAATGTAAGTAAAAACAAAAAAACTAGTGAAAAGTGTTATGTACACCATAGAAACATCAGAAAAAGGGAAATTACCAAACAATACACTTCTCTGTATGTAATTTCTCTTATGGATTACAATTTAGAGGCTTCTAATTATTTTGTATAATTATAAAATAAAATTCAGCTTAAATTAATAAAACAACCCTAAAAAACAGCAAAAAATAAATAAAACTAAACTAAATTATATATCAATTTGATGGCTTAACTATGCAAGAATAGTTTTGAATTACCTTAAAACATGGTAATTTGACTGTACTTTTTTTCTTTTTAAAAGCTTTTAAAAGTATTTCTTTATGTAAATTATAACTTTAAAAACACTGCACATTTATGACCTACACAAGTATTACAAGGCATTGACAATAACCTAGGGAAAAAATAAACCATTTGGAAGTAGCAGCAACAGTGAAACTGAAGCTAATGATACATTGATGATTTCCCTAAGGCACAAGAGAATCTTGAAAGAATGTGCAGTCACAAATGTCCACTGCAGCACTATTCTCAATAGCAAAGATACAGAGTCAACCTAAATGCCCAACGATGACAAATTGGATAAGGAAAATGTGGTACATATACACCATGGAATCCTATGCAGCCATAAAAAAGAATGAGATCATGTCTTTTGCAGAAAAGCATATGGAGCTGGAGGTTATTATCCTTAGCAAACTAACGCAGGAACATAAAGCCAAATATTTCATGTTCTCACTTATAAGTGGGAGATAAATGATGAGAACTCATGAGCACAAAGAAGAGAACAGGCTGGGTGCGATGGCTCACGCCTGTAATCCCAGCACTTTGGGAGGCCGAGGCCGGCGGATCACGAGGTCAGGAGATCGAGACCATCCTGGCTAACAAGGTGAAACCCCCGTCTCTTCCAAAAAGAAATACAAAAAATTAGCCGGGCGTGGGGGCGGGCACCTGTAGTCCCAGCTACTTGGGAGGCTGAGGCAGGAGAATGGCGTGAACCCGGGAGGCGGAGCTTGCAGTGAGCCGAGATCGCACCACTGCCCTCCAGCCTGGGTGACAAAGGGAGACTCTGTCTCAAAAAAAAAAAAAAAAAAAAAAAGAAAAAAGAAAAGAAAAGAGAACAACAAACACTGGTCTCTACTTGCGAGTGGAGGGTGGGACGACGGTTAAGGGGCAGAAAAAATCACTATTTGACAATAGGCCTAATATCCGGGTGATGAAATAATCTGTACAACAAATGCTCATGACAAAAGTTTACCTATATAGCAAACCTTCACATGTACCCCCGAAATCTAAAATAAAAGTTAAAAGAAAGAAAGGATAAAAAAGTGCAGCCAGCCACTCAGGCTGTGTAACATGGACTGGTCTGGCAGACATGTTGGGGATTTTTCTCAGATGTTGTTATGTATGACTTGACTGTACATCTTTCCTGGGATATATCAAGGTTAAAAAGGAGCTGAAATAAAATATTAAACAGCATTTGTTGATCATGTTAATACTAATAATATTAGTACTATTATTTTGAAGATTTATATGTAGATAGACAAATAGGTAGAAAATAAGCAATTATATTAGTGTTCTTAGGAAAGAAGATTTTTCAGAGTAATAACTAAGAGTGAAAAAAACAAAAGACAAAGAAATCCTTTACTGTTAATTTTTAATTTCAATTAGTGTACAAACTATGTGTGATTATTTTCTCTTATGCAATAAAATACATATTTTCTAACTGGTACACAGGAAAGGTCTGAAAGTAATGGTAAATCCAGATAAAGAGAATTCAGATTGTGGTCTCTAAATACCACTTCATAGTCAAATAAACCAAATCTTCTTGGAGAAATGACAGGTTTTCCCTGTGATAAGAACTGTACAATGTAAGCCTGGAAATATTTTTATACCAAATTGCAAAACAAAGAAACTATCAAAGGCTATAAAAATCCTATTGGAAGGTCACAGTAAGAAAGTAAAGGGGCTTTACTAGTTTAAAACAGCATGATTTAAACATCAAATAATATAACTGCAATGAACATTGCAAAAATGTTAAAAACCCATGAGTTCATAATAATCTGGAAAATCTCATTGATCACCACTGAAGCTTGCTTGGGAAAAAATGCATAATTCTGGAAACTGATGCTTAAGAGTAGACACTGAAGAATTCATCATTCCTTAATAGTGTGTGAATATTTATTTATTTATTTATTTATTTATTTATTTATTTATTTGAGACAGAGTCTCGCTCTGTCGCCCAGGCTGGAGTGCAGTAGCGCGATCTTGGCTCACTGCAACCTCTGCCTCCCTGGTTCAAGTGATTTTCCTGCCTCAGCCTCCTGAGTAGCTGAGACTACAGGCGCCTGACACCACGCCAGGCTAATTTTTTGTATTTTTAGTAGAGACGGGGTTTCACTGTGTTAGCCAGAATGGTCTCGATCTCCTGACCTCATGATCTGCCTGCCTCGGCCTCCCAAAATGCTGGGATTACAAGCATGATCCACAGCGCCTGGCTGCGAATGTATTTAATGGTAATCAAATAGTTAACGAAGAAAGCTTTTGTATGGAATAACAGCTGATATCCACAGCAAAACTAATAATGTTGGACCATCACCATTTTTTGTCCCTTAATAAGATACTGGGCTATTGCTAATGACCTACAATGACTGCTGAAACATTAAGTGAAAAGCTGATATAGAACTTTATATCTGAGGATTGCAAAAAGGAGAGATGACCAGACATCATTGTGCATCATAAGGTATTTCTAAAAAGTCAAAGTTGAATTTGATCAAGCCCTTCAATTTAATGCATTAATATAAAATAAAGGAAATAGAGGAATATGTTAAATGATATCATAGGGATGCAATTTAGCTCAAAAATTATATAAGATAAATGACATAATAATTATTTCTTGTTGAAAAGAAATACTTTTTCTTTTTTTTCTTTTTTTTTTGAGATGGAATTTCACTCTTGTCGCCCAGACTGGCACAATCTCAGCTCACTGCAACCTCTGCCTCCCAGGTTCAAGCGATTCTCCTGCCTCAGCCTCTCAAGTAGCTGGGATTACAGGTGCCTGCCACCATGCCTGGCTAATTTTTTGTATTTTTAGTAGAGACGAGGTTTTGCCATGTTGGGCAGGCTGGTCTCAAACTCTTGACCTCAGGTGATCCACACGCCTCAGCCTCCCAAAGTGGTGGGATTACAGGCATGAGCCACCGCGCTCAGCCTAAAAGAAAGTCTTTAAAATGAGGAGATTGTATAGATTAAAAGAGGCAAAGAGATATGCAAAACACATAAAATGTGTTTTCTTAATACTGCTATAAAAGAACAAAGTATTTAAAAACCTTTATGAGACAGTGGAGACTTGCCAACATGAAGATATATTAGGTACTATCAATAAATTTTCCTTTTTTTTAAAAAAGGCATTTTTTGAGATGTATACTCATTTAAGGTTAAAATTTTATGCCATCTACTTTTGCTTTCCAATAATGGAGCTGGTTGGAGAAGGAAACTTAGGTGTAATACTAGGCATGTCCATCACCATACTCCACCGAATGTGAAGGAAGGAGTCAGACAGATTCAGGCACTTCAGAAAACTCATGGATAAAGTGCTCAAATTGGAAAGGCTGGAATTATTTAGCATTAAAGCCATTCACTGTGTATTTTTAAATTATTTTTCTGATATATAAATACCATATGATCATGGCGGAGGAGCAAAAGTTATTCAAGAAATCAATTGGTGTTTGACTCTTAATATCAAGGCAGATTTTGAGTAAGGACACAAGCAAATATTAAAACTAGTAATAAGATCAAGAAGTAAAAAATAAATAGATCTCACACAGCATGGAGCGAGATGATATGGGAAATTTATGAACTCAAATAAAATAAAATAGGAACAGAAGAGAGAACATTGTCTTAATTATAGTACAAGTTCCCTTTAGTTAATAAAACATGGACAATTAAATCATTTTGCCTTTCAGTCTATTCTTTATATTTCATACACTTCTTCACATTGTATTACACATGCTGTCTTAGTTCATTTTCTGTCACTCATTACAGAATACCTAAAACTTGGTAATTTATAAAGAAAATAAATTAATTTTTTAGAGTTATATAGACCGGGAGGTCCAAGGTGAAGGGAGTGCCTCTGGTGAAGGCCTTGTTGCTGGTGAGGGCTTTCTGTGGCATCCCAATATGATGCAGAAGATCACATAGTGAGGAGGCTGAGTGTGCTAACATCTAGCTCAGGTCTATTTTTATCCTCTCACAAAGCCACAAGTTTCCCTCCCATGATAATCCATTAACCCTATAATCCATGAATCCATGAATGGATTAATCTGTTCATGAGGGAAGAGCCCTCATGACCTAATCACCTTTTACAGGTCCCCTTCTCCATATTGCCACATTGGAGATTAAGTTTCAACATGAGTTCTGGAAGGAACAGTTAAACCATTGCACATTTCATGTAACTACACTTACTATTTTCACTACAAACTATGAATTATACCACTGTGAACAAATTGCATCATTATTTTAGTAATAATTTCTAAAAAGAACAACAAAGTAGTTTAGAAAAAAACTGCATCTGTGTAAATGTCCTCTCTGCTTTGTGGTGAGAGAAGCAGAGACACGAGAAGCTGGATGTCTTAAGTCTTCTTACATGTAGTACAGTGACAAGACATTTCACGGTATAGTACTAGCCAGATTTGCTATAATTTAACTGCAAAGTACTAAGATTCTTTCACAAGAGCATACTTAAAAAGCTTCTTAAAAATTTTAAAGGGTTGGGTTTATTTTGAACTAAATCTAACATTATTAGAGGTTAACATTGAAGCAGGCTTCATTCTTGAAAGTTCAATTAATTCCTAAGGATTGTCATACCTTAGAAATATAGCAGTGACTATAAGAACAAACTCTTCACTTTCTTTGCCCTATCCCCTGACACTTACAGACACTAAGATCCTCACAAGAGGTAATTTCAAAGTTAAAAAGAGATTCTCCTAACTAAGTCTAGGTATAGGTTCTGGAGAAAGTTCAATTATTCTGTAGAAGAAATTGGGAGAGTTTTATTATTTTGTGCTAAATATTGCTTTTACAAAAATATATAAAAAAGAATAAACCAAGAAATGAGTTTTAATTCAATAGGATTAACTACCTGAAACATTCAATTTGGTTATTGATATTAATTTTCTTCCTGATAATTTGTTGGCATAAATTGAAAAATACCTAAAGAATGACAAACCGGAAATATAACTGAAAGAAATCAGCTTAGGAACTATTAAAAATGCATAAACACTATTCTAAGTATCTGATGCTTAAAATAGTAATTAATAAATTGCCCAGGCAAAACTTTGCAACAATCTTCAAAGTCTGTCAAAACTCTTCAACAACAATATGTATCATAACAAATTTGAAAAAAGAGTATGTAGAGATGAGTTTTTAGTAGGTATATAAATACAAGTATGGAAACTATGCTATTTAGATGTTGTGATTTATTATTTTTGTTTTTAATTAATTTGCAGAGCTTTCTTTTCATTCACTTGAGTGTATTCTCTGATAAGAAGTGACTGCTATACAGTCCACTATGATTTTCCTCACTACCAATTTTAAACAGTATAGTTGCTTTATTAATATTAATAAATATTAATTTATTTAGTATTAATTAATATGACAATAGAGTATTTAGTTGGCCTGCATTTTATGACTGAAAGCAAATGTAATTACCACTCCAAAGATGCCAAGAAAGCTTCAAATCTAATCCCAGGTGTAAGAGGAAGAAGCAACTATAAAAACCTAAAGAAAAACCGGCAGAAGCATTTAAAATTCTTTTTTTCTTATAGAGTAATCATTCTGATTGCTTAAGTATTACTTTAACTGTAAAATATATTTTTGACATATTATTAATCAAAGTTCTTGAGAAAAGTAGAGGGAAAAATCTTACATATGACAGCTGCTCAACGTTTGAAGATATCAATTATATTTGTCCCTCAGGCTTTTACAAGCTGAACATTCCAAGTTCCTTCAAGTGTTTCATATGTCACACTTACATATTCTCATGTCATTCTCTAGCCCTCTAAAAATATGACTAGAGCTGGACTCACGTTGCCAATGTGATCTGACTGGCACGTTTGGAACACCACTCCTCTATTTAACCTTTTCATTTTTAATGCATCCTATTCAGTTTTTTTGTCACCTAATCCCTTAATAGCCATAGTGACTTCACTGAATTTGTGACCAACTGAATTCTTTAAAATTTTTCACAGTAGTTGTTCTTAGATGCTCTGCTCTGCATTTATGTACAAAATTTTAATAAAGCGGCAATTTTTATTTATTCCAAACAAGAATTTATTCAATAAGCATCTACTGAATACAAGCTATATTACCAGTACTATGTCAGGCACTGGAGAGGCAGAGGTAAACACATCGACACCCTCTGCCACTTTATTAATTGCTTTCAAATAGATAAAGCATAGAAAAAGACAAAAATTTATAAAAACCACAAAAATACATTTTACTAGTATACTGCACATGTTGATAAACAAGCAAACGATGCTTTGAAAGAAATGTAATTGGTGAGACACCCAATTTGTTTATTTTCTTTATATATAGTTTTTATTTCAATAGCTTTTGGGGTACAAGTGGTTTTTGATTACCTGGATTAATTTTATAGTGGTGAAATATGAGATTTTAGTGCACCCATCACACAAGTAGTATACATTGTGACTCAACATGTAGTTTTTTTAATCCATCACCCCTTTCCACCCTCCCCCATTCTGAGTTTCCAATGTCCATTACACCACTCTGTATGTCCATGCATACCCATAGCTTAGCTTCTACTTCTAAGTGAGAACATACAATATTTGGATTTCCATTTTTGAGTTGCTTCACTTAGAATAATGATCTCCAACTCTATCCAAGTTGCTGCAGAAGACATTATTTCATTTTTTTTATGGCTGAGTAAAAGTCCACATTTTTTATCCCCTCATCAGTTGATGGGCACTTAGTTTTGTTCCATTACTTTGCTAATGTGAATTGTGCTGTGATAAACATACACAGGTGTCTTTCTCATATAATGACTTCTTTTCCTTTGGATAGATACCCAGTAGTAGTATTGCTAAATAGAATAGTAGATCTAATTTTAGTTCTTTGAGATATCTCCATACTGTTTTCCATAGAAGTTGTACTAATTTACATTCCTGCCAGGGATGTATAAGGATTCCCTTTTCACCACATCCACACAACATCTGTTGTCTTCTGATATTTAATAATGGCTATTATTGCAGGGGTAAGGGGGTATTTTATTGTGGTTTTTATTGGCATTTCTCAGAAGATTAGCAATGTTTAGCATTGTTTCATATGTTTGTTGGCCATTTGTAAATATTCTCTTAAGAATTGTCTATTCATGTCATTTGTCCACTTTTTAATGGGATTATGTTTTTTTTCTGCTGATTTTTTTTTTGAGCTCCTTGTAGATTCTGGATCCTTTGCAAATGTATAGTTTGCAAATACTTTCTCACATTCTGTGAATTGTCTGTTTACCCTGATGATTTTTTCTTTTGCTGGAGACATCCAATTTAAATGTGTTACTTAGGGAATCACATTTTTGCAATATTTAGTTACTAATTTACTTATCCTGACTTTAATGTCCTAAATGATCTAACTCTTGTCTGTCTCCTCTGCCTTATCTAACAGCCCTTTTTCCTATCTAAGCTATAGCCCTACTGATAGTCCACCGGGTTCTCAAATTCTCAAGCTCTTTACTTCATACATTTAGCTGCAATGTTATAATATTTACTTTAAAACATTTACCAAATGAGATCTACTTTTGTGACTGTGTCAGAATTAAAAACATTTATAAATTTATTGAAAATTTTCATATAAAGAAGAGAAGTTTATATTTCCTTGTCTTGAATCTGAGGGATACTGTCTGTTTTGATCAATAAAATGTGGCAAAAGTGAATGCAAGTTTCCAGACATTAGCTTTAATAGACTACCTTGCACTACAGATCTTCTTGAACACTCTCGTAGTCTTAAATGGCTATATTCAAGTACCTTGCTAGAGAGGAAATCCAAAAATTATGCCAAAAGAAAAAATGGGCTGGCTAAGGCAGTCCTTCCCCCACTGAGATACCAGCCTCTAGACTAGGTCAGCCAGAACTCAATGTCATTGAGCAACTCCAATTCATGCATGTGGCAGAAAATGATAGGCCAGCCAAGGACTGCCTCAATTTCCAATCCACATAATCATGAGGTGTTTTTAAATGGTTATTGTTTTAAGTTCCTAAAAGTTAGAACATTTGTAATTCAGTAATAGATACCCAGAGCAAAAGTGGAGGATGGAGCTTTCACTCAAGAGGAAATGTTATGTACCAAAGTTTAATACTAGGAAAGAGCTTGGCATTTTGAGAAGCACACGACCACCTGTGCTATAGCTTACCTAGGGGAAAGGGCTGCTAGAAAAGGCAGATGAGATAGGAAAGAGTTAGCTCATTTAGGTCATTAAGGTCAGGGTAAGTTGAATGGAATGTATTCCAAGTGCTATGGGGAATAACTGTGCATACAGAAGAGCTTTCTAACTGTAGATACAGTTTGAGATAGAGGAAATTAAGAGTGACTATATGCAAACAGCAAGGAGACTATCATAGTAGTCCAGTAAAAAGTATGAGTATGATGATAGCAATGGAAACGAAGGGAAATGTTTGTATTTGAGATATATTGTTGAGTTTAATAAACAAGACTTGCATTCACACATAAATTGGATGTGAGAGATGACAGAAAAGGAAGCAGTGATTACACTGAGCAGAATGATGCCACTTATTAGCCGGTAAAATTAGAATTAGAAAACATGTTCAAAAAAGAGTGAACTCAAGAGATCTATTTTTGGACTTTACTGTGATTCTTGCATTCAAGTAGAATATCTTACAGTGACATGGCAATAAAAGAGTGGTGTTCTTTGATTAATCTAGACAAAGGATTTATATTCAGTAAGATCTAGGCAAGAAATTTGTATTAGGAAGTAATGAAAAATCAACTGGAAGACAAATGTCCACAAATAATTTACATGTCCTAGGAAATGAGTATACAGAAAAAAGAGAAAGGGCCAAGAAACAAACTCCAGGGTATTTTGAAGTTAAGAGTATAGACAGAGGAGGAGAATGTAGCAAAGTAAACTGAAAATTTGTGAACAGTGAAGTGAGAGCAAAACTAAGATTGATGATATAAAAGGCAAGACTTGTATTTCCAAAAGAGAATTGAAAGAAGGTGAAATATCTGAAATAAAAATAAAAATGTGCTTATTGCATTTGTCAACATTAAAGATGGTATTTTGATACCAATAAATAAGTTGTAGAGAAGGTTGTAAAAGTCAGACACTAGTTACAGGAAGATTAATTGGGTATTGAGTCATTTCACACAAGTGTAAATATCTCTTGGTTTTGAAGGGAAAAGGAGAAATGTCACAGTATTTAGATATGAGGTTGAGGATTTGTTTTTGTATCTTTTTAACAGGAGTGGGTAGTGGACATTTTCATGCTAAGTGTGGTCCTGCATTAGAAAATGCAATATTGCTGAAGAACAGAAGTGAAATTATTGGAGTAATAAAATTATCAAGATGGTAGAACAGTAGAATCTATAGCATACATAAAGTCATTGAACATAATATGATTTCTCCATTGAAACAAAATAAGATAAAATAAGATAAAAGAAAAATAAAAGAAGTAGATGGTTACAAGCTTAGGGAATTTGATTGATTGTCTGATTGGCCAATTACAGGTAGGCAGAAGAGAAGTTCATTTTGATGATTTTCTAGTTTTTCAAGGAAGGAAAAGGGAAAATCATCTGTCAAGATTGAAGGTAGAAGAAAAATGTAGAAGATTTAGTGTCTACACATCAAAGGTGTCCATGTTCTTCACTGAGATTAGAATAACATTCTAATTAGGATCGACAATACCACTTCATGTCATTTTTTCAATTCTGATAAATCTTGTATGTAAGCTTTACCTCTATTTTTATATTATGTTTTCCTAAGCAAAGGTAATAATACGTCTTTATCAAAATCTTGATAGATACATTAAGAAACAGGCCAAGGTCAGAAAGGTGTGGTGATATTCCACAAGTTAACAACTTTATTGAGGTATAACTGAAATACAATAAACTACACATATATAAAGAGCACATTTTAAAAGTGTTGCCATATGTATACATCTGAGACACTATTATCACTGTCATCATGGCAAATGTACCCACTATCCCAGAAAGCTTCCTCATGCTTCTCAATAATCCTCCTCTCCCACTCCTCAACACAACACATATTACCAAGAAGTATTGGTTTACATATACTTCCTAATTCCAAAGATTTGTTGGGTGTTAAATTTTGTCAAATACATTTTTTTCCTGCATCATTTGATAAGATAATGAGTTTTTTCTACTTCAACAAGTTAATAAGGTGAGTTACATTGATTTATTCTTGAATACTGAATCAGTTTTGCTTTCCTGGAATAACATAGGTCATGGGTTATTTTTTGTATATAGTGCTGTTTTTTATTTGCTAATAATTTGTTGAGAATTTTTATGTCTGTCTTAATGCAGGATATTGATCTGAAATTGGTGTTTTTGTTTTTATGTAGTTTTGGGATTAATAAAATATTGTTCTCATAAAATGAATTGAAAAGTGTCCTTTACTTGCTATTTTCCAGAGGATATTGTATAGGAGTGATATTAATGCTTTCTTAAATATCTGGTAAAATTTTCCAGTAAAAATAAGTAGGCCTAGATATTTCTTTTATGGAATGTATTAAACTAAAAATTGAATTTAAAACATAGTTATAGGACTATTCTGATTATTTAATTCAACTTGGGTATAATTTGGTAGTTCAAACTTTTCATTGACTTTGTCCATTTAACATATCAAATTTGCATAGATTTGTTCATAGTGCCTCTTTATGATCCTTTTGATATATGTGGGGTCTGTAGTATATCTACACTTTCATTCCTTAATATCGGTCATATTTTTTCTCTGTCATTTTTGCTAGATGTTCATCAATTTTATTGATATTTTTAACAAACCAGCTTTTACTTCATTAATTTTTAAGCTATTTTTATTATTTTTTTTTTGGCTTTGTTGCCCAGGCTGGAGTGCAGTGGCATGACCTCGGCTCACTGCAACCCTCCTCCTCCCAGGCTCAAGCCATCTTCCCACGTCAGCCTACCAAGTAGCTGTTACTCCAGGCGCATGCCACCACACCTGGTTATTAAAAACAATTTTTTTTTGTAAAGATTGTATTTCACCATGTTGCTCAGGCTGGTCTCAAACTTCTGAGCTCAAGGGATCTACCTGTCTCTGCCTCTCAGTGTGCTGGAATTACAGATGTGAAACACTGCTCTTGGAACTTTAATTTTAAATTTCATTGCCATGCTCTTATCTTTTTCTTTTTTATTCTTCAACTTGCTTTGATTTTATTTTGCCCTTCTTTTTATACTTTCTTGAGGTTGGATCCTAGATTTTTTACTTGATAATATTCTTTTTTTTAATGTAAATTTTAGGTGCTATAAATTTATCTCTCAGTACTGCAGCAGCCATATTTCATAAATTTTGATATGTTATATTTTCATTTTCATTCCATTCAATGTAATTTTTAATAGTCTTTAGAATTCCTTTTGATTATTTAGAAATGTGTTATTTATTTCCGGGTATTTGCAGATTTTTCTCTTACTTTTCTCTTATGGGTTTCTCATTTGTTTCCATTTTGGCCAGAAAATACACTCTGTATATTTGCAGTTATTTTAACTTTGTTTAGATTTTTTAATGGCAAATGATGTGATCTATCTTGTTGAATATTTCATAAGCACTTGTAAAGAATGTGTATTTTGCTGCTGTTTGGTGGAGTGTTATATGAATGACAATTACAGTCTGTTGGTTGATGGTGTTCTGTTTTTTTCATAGCCTTGATAATTTCTGTCTAGTGGTACTATCAATTTCTCAGTGATTGTTTTTTTCTTAACTATAACTGTGAATTTGTTTATTCTATTTTAAGTTTTATCAGTTTTTGCTTCAAGTATTCTGAAGCTTTGTTTTTACTGTGTACATACTTAAGATTGCTATGCTTTTTGTTAGACTTACATATTAATTGTGTGTAAAGTCCCTTTCTGTCCCTAGCAATTTTCTTAGCATTCTCCTTTAACTGTTATTAATATTTTTTGTTTAATGCTTTCATGTTATATAACTTTGCACTCATTTACTTTAAACTGACTTGTATTGTTATATTGTTACATTTAAAGTGAGCTTCTTATAGACAACAAATAGTTGATTATTTTTTGTTTGTTGACTTTTTATCCACTATGCCAAACTTGTCAAGTTATAAACTTAAACCATTTGTATTTAGTGTAATTATTTATATAATAGGGCCTAAATCTTCCTTTTCCTTTTCTGTTTTCTGTTTGATTTCTTTGTTGGTTTTTTAAAAATTTATTTGTTTTTTTTTCCTGCATATCTGAGTGTTACGTAAACATTTTCTAAAATTTTATTTTTATTTATCCATAGTGGTTTTGAGTATATCTTTCTATAAATCTTTTAGTACTTGTTTTAGATATTACATTACATGTGCATAACTTATTCTAGTCTAGTGGTTTTGTTATTTTAGTGGTCAATATAAGATAGGGAGGAAGCCAGTGTTGTGTGTGGTTATCAAGGGTAACGTAAAGGATTTTTGGGGTAATGGGAGAGTTGTGTATTGGAGTTTAATTGTTGTAATGGAATTTTATATGTAAATATAATTATACAAATACACAGATTAGTGTATGTAAAATGGTAAAATTTGAATAAGGTCTGTGGATGGTATTATCACCAATTTACTGTATTTGATTTTGTACTATACACAAACTATCACCATTGGGGAAACTGGATGAAGGACACACAAGACTTTTCTGTGCTATCTCTTTTTTCAAATTTCTGTGAACTTATGAGATTTTTGATATACAAAGGTAAAGAAAATAAAGGTGATGCTTGATTTTTATGTGAAGTGGGGAATAAATGGAATCTTATGAAGCTCTCAAGTATAATAAAATATGCTAAATATAACCACAAATAGTATCAGCCAAATAGTGGTTTTAACTGGACTTATCAGCAAAAATGATTTATGTTGTAATTCTCAAATTGTGTATTAAAATTACATAAACATCCCATACTTAGCACTATGTCTTCTCTTTTTGCTCACTACAGTAACAAGTCATTCTTGTTCATAGCATGATTAATATCTTTGCATTATTTATCTAAACATTATCTTAATGAATAATCAATCATGCATTCTAGCCCAATGAACATGGGCTATATGACAATAAAACAAATTTTTAGAAATTGGATTACTTTCATCTAAACAATTACATTCATGTAGAAAGCAGGAGGGAAATAAAAAACCCATCGTTTTGAAAATAATGATGTTAAATTGCTGAAGGATAGTTTCTTCAATAATTGATAAAATACGTACCACAGATAAACAGTTGATGAGTGTACTTAACTTATATGGTAAAGGTATTTAATAAACGCACTTTTAAGGAAGGAGAATAAAACAATATAGGAGTTATACATGCCTCTATTTTATTCTGACAGGGCCGATTTGGTATAATTTTGTGTTTTTCTATTAAAATTTAATATAGAAAAAGATGATTTTAACACCTGAACTGTATTATAACATTTAACAGTATAATCAGAGGATCATTAAACGGTCTTGCCTTTTTTCCTTTTTCTTTTTCCTTTCTCTCTTAATATACTTGTTTATATACACTTGTAAGTGTACACATATATTTCACGTTGCAGAATTAGAACCACCTTATTTATTTCTCACTTATGTACCAACATTATAGATATCAAAACCCAAAGTGTTTGTAAGATAGTTCCCTATATGCTGAATTTATAAATAATAATTGTAAAAAATAGTAAAAGAAAAGTCAATTGGTTTCATGTTACTGGACCACTTTCCAACTTAAAAATAAAAAAAAAATCAAGATACAGAGAAAAAAGATGCAAAGAACTTTCCAACTTTAAAATTTAAAAAAGTCAAGATACAGAGAACAAAGTAGGAATTCTG
This sequence comes from Homo sapiens, assembly GCF_000001405.40. Lineage (NCBI taxonomy): Eukaryota > Metazoa > Chordata > Mammalia > Primates > Hominidae > Homo > Homo sapiens. Next base: position 137,047,622 of record NC_000004.12, read on the forward strand.
GGAAGATTTTCTTCGAAGAGAACTGTTATCAGATATGATTTCTTTTCTTATCACCTCTACCATATTACATTCGAATTCCAAGCACAGTAAAGGCAGCTTTGATGATATTACTCAGCGTCCTTGATTTAACATATAAAAGTGATGGTTTTTTTTAATACCTGAGAAAGCTAAAGGCCCTACATTTCCTACATCTATTAATGAAAAGATTGGATGATTCCATTTGCCAAGGACTAGGAGTCAGTTGCAGAACAGGAAAAAGAGAAATCATTGTCCAAGAGGTCTTAAGCCAGAAGACCTTAACAACCAGAGAACCGGAAAAGTGGACAATCAGATAAATGAGGGCAGAGGAGGTCCAAACAGAAAAGCATCCACAAGCCCACAAAGCACTCCTGAGTGAAATTAACTTTAAATACTGCCAGATCCAGAGATCAGCAAATAAAAAAATCCCCTGTCCCTTCACTTTTAATTTCTCTATTTCCACAAGGTAGCAGAGGAAGGAAAACAAAACAAACAAACAAACAAAAACAAACAAACAAAAAAAACGCCAGACCTTCTTTCCTAGCTACAAGTCTCCCCAAACTCTGTCTTTAGTTGCATATAGGGAAGAAGGTCTTATCTTTTGCCATAGCTTGAAGTGTTGCTTTATATCTTGTATTAGATTTCTGATTAAGACTATATTTTGAGATTTTAAATAACTATAGAATGATCTATTAAATAGAAGTAAGCAAAGTATTATGGGCACTGGTCCAATTTTTATCCAGGACCACAGAAAAATTACTAGTGGTAGAAAAGAACTAAAAGACAAGAATAAAATATGTATTTATTAGGGTCATTCATTATGCTTGTTCAACATACAAGTTTTACGTTTTTATACTCAAACGTGTGTACATTTTTACTTCAGTAGGCTTTTCCCATTAATTCGATACCATAGTCTTGTTTTCATCCAGCAACGTTTCATGGATATTTTGTATTTCCCAAATACATGGAATTAATAAAATATTTTAAAGACTCATTAGTTTTTTTAAAAAGTTGATGACCTGTTTTTATTTATCTGTTTGTTTTTAAGCAGCAAAATAAAGAACTACTTTTCATATCTCTAAATGACCACATTCTATTACCTAATATATTTGATTGAATAATCTGTTCTATGAACCAGAATTTGCCTTTATAATAGACCCCTTGCAGTCCTTCTGCATATGTTTCACAAACACACTTTAAGGAAATAAAAGACTAATTTTACCAAAACATTTGAAGAATTAGTGTCCAATGTAAAACAACACTTACATTGTATTTTAAATAACTATATATGAATAGCACTCTCTATAAGTCATTCTCCCCTTACTGTTTGTCTCTCTTCCTGGAATCTGCTGTTTTAATATGAGCTATCAAGAGAAATGCAGAAGTATTTTTTAAAAAGACTCAAATTTAATAGAATTGTATCAAATTCTCCTTCTTTTATTACATATACATTTATGGGCAAGATACTTAACTTCTTGGTACCAATATTTCCTTAATTTTAAATTAAATATAAAATACACATTATAAAGATAAAGTGTTTTCAGGCATATACAGCACATAGTGTTAAGAATATTTATTTTATTTCTTCTGCATTATTTTCTTTACTTCTTTGCTGCCCAGTATCTTATTTGCTCATAAGATAAATTTGTAGTAGTCACCTTCTTCCATAAAAGGCATGCTTAAATATCTTTGAATTAAAACCCCAAATTACTTAATAGTTTTATTGTAGCATTGTCTCCTCTGTAGTACAGCCCCTACACTGAAAAGATATTTGTATTCTACCTATTTATGTCCCTGGATTTCACTTTAATTTCTTTTTTTGGTGGTCACATAGGTTAAATCCATCACTATTATTACAGACTCTGAAAAACACACCAGTTAAAAAAAAGAAAACTACTAAGAGACTGCACTGTGGCTATTTCACATTAATGTATGTAACAAAAATAGCTACCGATTTTATACATTTATTTATATAATGAGAGGAAGAAAAAGACACAGCAACCCTAGGCAAAAAGAATTGCAGTATCATGTTACATTCATTAACCATATAAAACCAGATGTTATTTATCACTTCTGTAGTGAATTGCCAAGAAACCTAAACGATTAGAAAACAGGATGTTTGATTAATTACTTTCTTAGTTGATTTTTAAAATTTTGTTATTTCAATTCCTGTTGCTGAAAATATATCAGTACATTTTCTACCTTAGCAAATATAACATGATAAATATAATTTGTTGTGAGTAAATTTTTGTTTCACATAATCATAATTTTAAATTAATTCAAATGATATTATATTGAATATGAAGAAGCTTGAGAGTGGATATGACTTATTGTCAGAAAATAACTAAAAATATATATTTTTTAGTAAAATCATTTTACCATCCCTTTTTTCTTTTAAAAAATACTTATTTTGTGTTCACATTAACTGGATTGTCTTAGCTGAAATTTCTTTAAACATTGCTCTTCTTTACCTAGTGGCAGTATTTTTGCGCCCTGAGATATCATACTATTCATAAGAAAGAAACAAATAACAATAAACTATGTATTCTATCAACTTTTCTTTTGAGTTATGAGTCACATGTGGGCCTATTCACACTAGAAAAATATAGTACAATATATGTGATGATGCATGATAAGCATCCCTCTATGAGATAAATTAGCATTAAGCTCAATTTCCAAAGTTGCAATTTCTGTAACACATAGCACTGTCATTTATACTTTCACATGTTGAGCAGCAACATTTCCAACCTTTATGTTGTAAAGACTGAATCTGATACTATATTTAGATTCACAGCTGTTTGATTTTTTCACATATGCTTTCACTACTAAGAAGAGCTCTTAAGAATAGATAAAAAATATGTCAAAATCTTTGTCTTTTATAGAGAAAATAAAAGTAATTTATTTTAAAAATAATTACCCCTTTTAAGACCAGCATGTACTGAGCTCTTCGCACTCAAGGTTAGACAAGCCGTAAGCATGTAAATCAGGACATTTCCTAGAAGGTCATTTCAGAGAATAGAGAACCTTAAGTTTGCAGGTTTCTGTTTCCCTTGAAAAGATATCAATACTGAGATTACGTGACAGACAAAGGAAGAATTACTTAATTTCTACTGATACTAATTTGTCTCTGATTTATATAAAACTATTTGTTTCTTCCATGTTAACATAAAATGCAAGTGAGGTCAAATGAAAAGTAGGTCAGGAGCTTATAACAAGACCACTATCCTTTATATCAGATATTGATTCATGACCTTTCAGTAAGGCACTGAAGAGCAGAAATTTGGAAATGAGACTTCTCAACACAGTCACTTTCTGGTCATACAAGTGGTGGTAGTTATTTAACTTCTCTGCTCTTCTATTTCATTTTGTCTGTACAAGGCGAGATGAAATAATGATACTTTCTTAAGAATTTTTTTTTTTTTCGCCGTCTCGCTCTTTAGGCCAGGCTGGAGTGCAGTGGCGCTATCCCGGCTCACTGCAAGCTCCGCCTCCTGGGTTCACGCCATTCTCCTGCCTCAGCATCCGGAGTAGCTGGAACTACAGGCGCCCGCCACCACGCCAGGCTAATTTTTTTGTGTTTTTAGTAGAGACTGGGTTTCACCGTGTTAGCCAGGATGGTCTCGATCTCCTGACCTCGTGATCCGCCCACCATGGCCTCCAAAAGTGCTGGGATTACAGGCGTGAGCCACCGCGCCCGGCCAAGAATTTTTTAAGAATTCAGTTACATGTGAACATAAGTTTAGTACATAGTAACAGTAAAATAGCTTTTTTAACATTATTACTGTTTCCTTATTTGTCTTATCATAAAAACTCTTGCACATATTATAAACTAAAACAGTAAAAAGCTTTATAAAAGGTAAAACATCTTCTCAAACTTGACTTATAATTTTATTCTTGAAAAATTATCACTACCAATAAGGTCATTTGTATCAGTACAGAAAATTTTCCTAATTGTATGTTTCATTTTTATACAAGTGGGAGTATGTGACCCACATTTTCAGTACTCTCCTTTGTAATTTAATTAACAATATATCTTAAGTACTTCATCCTACAATAATATTGTAGAGTCCTTTAGAGTCTATATTGGTAATCAATAATTTAATTAGTCCTCTTAAAAGACATTTGTGTTAATTATATTTTGTGTGTGTTATTACAAAAATAATATATAAAAACCTCAGTTTATGAGTATCTTTGGGTACAATTGACAGTAAATATGTAAAACACATTTCTACTAGATGAATTGCAGGATGAAATAATGTGTTTATTTAATTTAATAACTACTACCTGGTTACCAGTATAGGAGTGCCTATTTCCTCAAAAATTATTATTATAATAAATTCAATTCTAATGTATATCTTGATATTTTAATGTTATAAGAGATGTTCAGCATCTTTTTTGTTTCAGTCTGTTTTTGATTATGAATTATACATTCATATATTTTGTATTATCTGTTAGCCTGTTGATTTTTTCTTATTGATTTTGATCAATATTTAAATGACAAGCCTCACTACTCTACTACCTAATTGCATATATGTTTAGCTATTTGAAATTCAAATTAAATATCAAATTTAATTATCTTTTTCTCTGTGATTTATGGGTTCATGTCTTGCCATGAAATATTTTAAAATTATCTATTTTTTCTATTGTACAGCTTATTTTTATGTTTACATTTTTGATCATCCTAAAACACATTTTGGTTTGAGGAGATAAGTATGGTTCTTGTTTTATCTATCTGTATCTGTCTTTCTATTTATCCATTTACTTTCCATTGTGTCTAATGTGTTGTTCCACATAATTGGCAGGAATGTTTTGTCCATCTTAAAGATTGTAATGGCACCTTTTTCCTGTTCTTTCTTATTTTCTATTCATCTCTCTCTCTCTTTCTCTGTCTCTTTTTCAACATCTATATTGTCTTTCTGTATTATTTTTTATTTCATTGATATTTCTATTTCTAAACAGTATTAAATTACTTTACTATTGCTTTTATCATTTTTGCTATAAGACTTAAAAATCCACTACAGCTTTAAGTGTATTTTGCTATCTAGAATTTTATATCAGTACCTTAGTGGAATTCTGACATTAACCAAGTAATTTGTGACAATGGTGCTCCTTTTTCTTTCATCTGGAAAACTGAGTAACAATAATAATAATAATATACTCCACAGGAATCTTGGCTTAACTGTTAACTGTTACAATACTTGCAAGGGGTCTTGTATATTTCAAATTCTCGTCGAAAGAATAAATTATTACTTATTTTTACTAATGAAGGTGATACTTATTAAAATCTAGTTTTCTATAGTAAAGTTAAGTGGTATAATTCTTTGGCATAAAGGATTACAGTGCAAGTCATGCTTCAATAGCTGCTAGACTCACTACCTTGACTATGAATGTATTAATATTGATAAACTTATCTCATTGTCAAACATACCTGGGACTTTTCCAACGTTCGGTAAAGCTAGATGGGAAAAACCATGATGAATTAAAATTCTAAAAGGGATTTTGACCAATATATTTTTGTGCTATAAAAAGAAATTCAGAATCAATAAGCCCATGTTTGCTTTCCCTTGTATATTGTTTAATTCTGAAATCCTGAATTGTTCAATCCTGACAAGATGTTATAGGTAGTTTAGTAGTTAAGGTTACCATTCCCCACTGTTTTTTCTCCTTCTTTGTATTCCATACTCTTTGCCACTTGACTTTGTAGTACTTTCTATTTTAGCCAGTGATTGTCTCTCCCTCTTTCTCCCTCTCTTTCTCTTTTTCTGTCTCTGTCTCTCTTTCTCTCTCTATCACAATTGACTTTAAACAGATCATTAAAATGGTTTTTTGTAAACCGAGACCAACAATGAAAATATAAATGGTAGGAAAATGGTTTTTAAGTCTCTGGAATTATGACTTCATTAAGAAATACAATTACTGTTTTTCAGAAGTTTTATCTCTCATAATTATAGTATCTATTTTGGCTATTTTCATATATCTGATATATCCATAGTAAAGGTATCAAGTCTGGGAAAAGATTGAAAAAGGTCTAATTACTGCCATACATTATTGACCTCTCACTAACTTGGAAATTTGGATAAAGTAACTCAGTTAAAACATATTTCTCTCAATAATAGGTATCACAGAATTCAAATAAATTATTTGATGTAACTGAAAAATATTAAAATAATTTTATGACTATCCTTATATATATGCTAATATTTTCCCCTTGGCCAAACTCCAGCAACATTTATCTTGTAGTCTAAGTTGTTCTTGATATATAGTGGATTATCAAAATATATTTTTATCAAGTAAATAATAAATACATATAAACAATTAATTAAAATGTACATTTAAAATAATGATTCACATTAATTCTTCACATATTAATTATATATAAATAACAAATCATGGGCTGTAAATTATTATGAAAATGTCTGTTAGAATAACTCAAATATATTAAAACAACATAATAATTGCTTGAAGAATAGCAATATTTTAACCATTTCACTATAGTAATGTCTAGCCTAAAACAAATTAAAATACATTTTTAAAAGTAAAATTCTATATGAAAAGTAGAAACAGAATTAGTTTATTTAGAGAAGATATTCTTTAACATCCACTGGTAGAATAAATTGTGTTGCTATTATTCCAAAATGTAACTTCTCAGATCAATTTAGTATTTTTGCCTCTGAGAAATATTTAAATAATTGGAGATCTCATTTTTTTCTCAGACTTGCTGTCTGCTGAGTTTGATAAATCTAAAAGTTATATACCTTTCTAGTACCTCAGAATTTATCTTTTAGAATGTTCTGGCACCCCTACAATCCTTTGGCTTATTGAAAGCTGAAAATTCAAATATAATGCTTAAAAAAGAAAATAATCTAAGCTGTGACTAAAAGGAGTGATTTTAGCCCAGCTGATATATTTTAGTGCATTTATCTTCTGTAAGTTACCCCCACCACAATGACATGCAAAAATACAGCACAGAAACAAACCTGCTGAGATCTCCACCTTCTCATCCTTTTATAGACAGTTAATAACGTGTGTCCATGTCATAGAATACCTTGATTGTTTTCTTATGAAACCTCTTGGAGGTAAATGATCTTATATTTCAGGTTTCTGTTGAGCCTTAGCTCTTAGAAAAGAGCATGTCTATTACTTAAACAAAGTGATTTACAGCATATGGATTTGGTAAGACGCTGATTTCCAGAATGCTTGACTAATGTGAGACGTGCCAACTTAAACAAAATGATTATGTCTACACATTGCCATCTTGGAAGCACTAATAGTTCTTTGGTTTAAGGCATCATAGCATCCCAGTGGGCATACTAAAAGTAAAACTCCCTTATAAGAAATCCAATTAAATGTCAAGAAAGAACCATACCAGAAGCAAATAAATTTTTTTTCACTCTGGACTTATTTTACTGTTTCTTTTGACTATTGTGGTTATTGAACCATTTTGTAAAGATATTATTTATTTAAAATTGAACATTTGAAACAATATATAATTTTTAAAATAATGTTTTATTTGCATGCAAATAGGATTTTATTTCTACAAAGTGAGCAAACATTAAAATATATTGTGAAGGGTTAATTTTTAAAAATGTACTCCTATCCCAGCAATAAAGTGTATAAAAACAGGTGAAGGCATGTGTAATAAGATTAACAATCTTAGTAACCAATGTAAGGTTTTAAGTTTTCATTATATAAGAAAGGCAAACAGGCCTTATCCATCTATTTGTAATCTGTAAAATCAAAGTAAATATATCAATCAAATCATACAGGTAATTAAATAGTCCACTTTTATATGAAGACAACTCATATGGTTTCAGACACAGAAGAAATCTATGGAATTACCTAACCACCAATTCAATAAAGTACCCCTACAACCCTGCAGAATAGATCTAGTGATAGGGATCTCACTAGCTAATAAAGTACCCCGTTTCTTTATTGTACGGTGTGTATTTAAAGCACACACACAATATTACTGTGTAAAGCTAAATTCAGGCTTCTGAAAATTCAACTTGCTAATTACAAATCTAATCTCTTGAAATAGAGTAAATCTCCTTCAAGTACAATAATGCAACCATTTAACCTTATGAAGAAATATCAATTATTGTATGAATTACATCAATTTAAGAGCAAATATACCAAGGTTTTAGCATTTATATGCAGTAAACTAGCAACATTAGAATAAGCAAATAGCCAAGACAGGTCCTTTATTTATGATAACTCCAAGAGTTTGGCAGTTGTACTTATTACTACACTAGGAGCAAAGGAAATGAAAACAAATGTCACTAAAGAATATTAAACAATGTAATATTTTAACATTAATATATAAAACTTCAATATATAACATACCTAAGTAGAGATTCTCTTGTATTTTAAATAAAGATTGAAATTCCATGTGTCAAGGGGACACATACTGAGCTTCTCACTCACCTTACCTCCTGTGACAAGCCAGGTTCACCTCAGGCGAAACTCTAGTCTTTAAGGAATATAATTTGAAATAGTTAAACATAATGAAATTTGATGTGAGAACTTTTTCTATGTTGCTTTTTGATTGTAGTGGTCCTTGTCTTAATAAAATAAAAATATATATATTTTTTCCTTTTGACGTCTGAGTCCTCAAGGGGGAGAGAAGATATGGACCTATATACCTAAGTAGAATATCAGATACCCACATGCTCTAACTCCATAATCATTAAGAAGATAAAATATGAGAAACAAATAAAAAATTCTAATCCTTTCAATAAATGTAACCAGTGAAGCAGCAAAGTAGGGCAACATTAAAAAAAAAAATTTGTTAGTCTTACGAGTGTTTATCTACCTCTGAAAAAAGGAAGTCATTTTCTATTCTTAACATGGAATGACTGATTCCAAGCGTTGATATTAAAATGATATTGCCCAGTGTCAAACCTGGAAATTGTTAAGCACTTGTATTATGCAAAATTCTGCAGCAAAGACTTCTTTGCCAGGCTACATATTGTCCATGCTTCCTTTAAACTATATTGATATAAATGTAATTCTATTTAAAACATTGTAATGCTTGAAGCTGATTTGCTTCAATTTGGTCAATTCGATGTATGATTTTTGTAGTAGTTAGAAGATAAAAATAAATAAGTATTTATATACTTTATAATAGAAGCAACATCATATAATAATAATATTCACTCCTTGGAAATACTCTCACAAAATCATTCATTCACTTTGAAAGTTTGAATTCAAATATATTTGTGGCATTATATGGACAATGCACATTCATCTACCACATTTAATCTAATTAACTCATTTATTCAGCTAATAGTCCCTGAGTGCTTATAATATTTGGTGCTGCAGTTACAACAATGAATATTAATTTGTGTTTCTCTTCATTGAATTAAAGTATAGCAATGAAGATAAGCACTGAATGCATAGTCGATAAAAAAACAAAAACAAGAAACCCTAACATTTGCAGCTCTTAATTTTATACAATTAACTCTCTGTCTTTGTGGCATTTATATGGTAATCCAGGGCCTCTCTCCGTCTTTCTTTGGAGGTTGCTTTAAGCTCGTTGTCTCTATTTCCAACATAATTCTGTCTTAATTAGATGCCTAATCTCTCCAAAACCTATCATCATTAAGACTTTTTTCTTTCTGTTTTCCAATGTTCTTCCCAACTGCCCAATCCAGCCATTTACCTTCTACAGGCCAAAGGTCACCTACCTTAGAAAAATGCCTTTAATTAATATACATATAATGTGTCCAGTGAATAAAGATGTGCCAGGTTGTATAATAAATGATAGTCATTTGATTAATAACAAGCAGAATATTCTCCATAGTCTTAATTTCAACCATCTAACTCTCTGACTGATCACCCAAGCTTTTGATCCCATTTGGACTTACTGTTCATTGATAGTTTAATTTTATTCCTTAACAAGCTTAAATTTTAGGATAATTATTACTACATAGATATAAGCTCAACGTGTATCTACTCTCAACTGTACTTACTTCTATTAGTAAAATAAAACCTAATATTTGGCCTTCCACCTACTTTTTGCCTGCACTCATACAGTTGAACATGGCTGAACAAAAGTGTACCACATTGCTGGCAAGTTTTATTTTAAATTATAAAGCAATTAGTCTTATAAAGATCTTAATTTTATCCAGCATTCATAGTATACATTTGTAAACCATTCATTTTTGCATTATTCTAGATGATTAATTCATATTTTCTTTTCTCTCTTCTACCAAATCCACCTCTAACTCTTAGCTGATGACTGCTTGCTATTTCCCCAAAACACAGAAAACATTCATTACCTGTCTGCTGCACATATATTAACCTAACTCAATCTGTTCTTCGTTTCCTTTTCTTCTAATATTTTACACACTTTCTTTATTCTTACCTTGAGTAACCTTTCTGCTTGCTTACCAAATTCTATTCTCACTTTTTGACTCAATAACAAAATGTAGTAGTTGAGTAGTCATTCAACATAAACTGATAGAATGCCAATTCTATGCCCCACATATTGGGAATGTACCAGTCCTTCAAGAGTCATTATGACATAACTTTACTCAACCACTTCATACCATCGCCTACTCTTCACTTTTGCAGATCCCACAGTGTTCAGTAAAAGTATAATCAGGTTCAGACTCAATTCATGTTAAAATTAGTAGGGCCAACCCTCCATATCTGTGGGTTCCAAGTCTGTGGATTCAACCAACTGAATATCAAAAATATTCAAATTAAAAAAAGGTTGCATTTTACTGAAAATATACACGTTTTTCTTATTATTCTCTAAGCAACACAGTATGACAATTGTTTATATGGCATTTACATTGTATTATGTATTCTAAGTAATCTAGAGATGATTTAAAGTACATGGGAAAATGTGCATAGGTTATAGGCAAATACTGCACCATTTTATATAAGACACTTGAGAATCCATGTATTATGGAATCTACACAAGTTCCTGGAACAAATCCCCTGTGGATACCAGGAGATGAATATTCATATTAAGAACTAGGAATTGAAGGCACCATTCCAATAATCTGTAAATTATATGTAGACTAAATTTTAAATTTATATTTTAAAGTAATGAACACCTTTATAATGCTCAGTTTTCCCAAATAAGGAATTGCATATTACCTCCAGGTATGTATTATCTCCCAATTAAATGTTGTGGTTTTCCTTATTTTCTTAGATTACACGCAGTATTTATCAGGTTAATTTATCTTGCAATACTACTGTAAATGGATTATTTCACAAAGTATATTCTAACAGGACATAAAAGATATAAGGAAGCATACCTGCCATCAATAGAAAAATTTAGTTTGAAAATAATGACATATTTTATCTATAGAACCTCTTTGAAAAGGGTAATTATAAAATAACAGAATACTTGACTTGAAAATCTGAATTTACATCTTTATATTAAGAAAAATGAAAGACTGTCACAGTAAACATGTTTTTCCATTGGGTAGAACTCAGTGGAAATTATTTCTTTTTCACAGGACAGGTTTTCTCTTATCAGCTCTGTTTTACAAACGAACATTACCAAGCCTAACCACTGTTGCTATTTGGCAGTCTGTTATTCAGGACATTTAAGGATTTTTGATGATTCACTTTAACAAGTTTTCTAAATGACCATAGTAAGTTTTCACCTATTTTTTGGATTATTAAGAAAACCATTATCACTTGTAAAGAATTATGATCTGGGTTTTTTTTGCCATAAAACATCATTATTTCTGTCGTGAATCATACCACATTAGCCAGAACCATTGGAGTCATGTTTAATAGTCATGATGAGACCCATTATCTTTGATGACAGAAAATATGCTCCCTCTGACAACATATAGAAAAGTCCATGTATTTTTAAATAATGCTTTTCAAAACATCAGAGAGTTGTGGAAACAATGAGGATTAGGTGGACTAAATTAACAAAGAGAAAATTAAGATTTAGAGATGAGCTGAATATTGTAAGATCCCTCCCACTAAGAGGGCATTTGCTAGTTCAGACTGGGGCTGAGAATCTTAGAATCACTCTGAGGGATACTCTTGGGGGAAAATGGAAGAAAGAACCAGCAGAATGTTCATACAGGGCTAAAGTAATAAAACTAAAAGCCTGAAAAGCCTTGAACAGATTGCTTATTTGCCCCAGAAGATATTTCTGGAAATGTAAGTCTTCAAGGGAGGCTAAAAAGAGCTAAGGTAAAAACTTGCAAATGGAAAAGATGTATTTCCATCAGACCCTCAGCACTTAGGAAACAACAATAGCACTGAGCATAACGGGCCCGAAGGTAAAATATGCAAAAGATGAAAGCTCTAAAAAGGGAATAGTGAAATAATACTGATGATATACAGCCAGTTTACTGATTACAGAGCTGGCTAGAATCTGGGAAAACAGGCTTGCCCTCTGGCAGATGCTTATTTTGAGTTACAAAGAAACCAGTACAGACTTTATAGCTCATTCAGGGTTGAAGTGACAGATAGATAATGAAGCCATCTCAAAAACACAGCTAGTCCCTCCTCAAATTTAGTACTAAATTTTGAATCTACAAGGGAAAAATAAGTTAAAGAGCTTTGCTGATAATACTCTGAAGAGTTTAAATGAATTTTCCTGTTTTCAGGGTTATATAAAGGAAGACTTAATAGGGTTTCAACTGAAATCTCTAGAGGGCCACCTTCTAGTAAAAGGGATAAATTGGAGGCAGGCTCTATCTTGCTAAACTGGTAATCCAACACAGGCCCAGGTCCACACCAGGCAAAACAAATATGGTCAGTCACCTAGCCATGTTTCAAATACAGGCAATAACGGATGCTTTCTGAAGAATGGTAATTTCATTTATACAAATATCCAATACATAATAAAAAATGTAGACATATGAAGCAGCAATAAAATGAGACCAACATTTAAGATATTGTTCAAGAAGAGAAGTATGTTACAGAAATAAACCCTGAGATAATCCAGGATTTAGAGTTATTCAAGTGAGAATTTTAAATAACTATGTTTAAGACAATACAGGAAAGGATAAAAAACTAGGTATAAATGTTTTTTTCCACACATTGCAAATTTTATTAAAGATATATGGAAATAAAGATGTATTAAAAAGAATCAAACATTCTAAAACTAAAAATAACAATATTTGAAATTAAAAAAATTAATAAATGGATTATTGACATAGTAGGTATAGTGGTACCAAGTAAAAGTGAAATGGATAAAACGTCAATAAAAATGTCTAAATTAAAGCACAGACATGAAAAAGAATGAAAAATAATCAAAGAATATAAGACATGTGAGACACTCTCTAAAATGAGCTAAGTAAACACATTAAGTACACAGAATAAAATAATAAAAATTAAAACAGATACCAACAAAAAAGAATAAATATACAATGATGAAATCTATAAACTAGTCAGAGAGAGGAAGAGAAAGACAGAGATTCTCAGGAAAAAAGATGAGAACATCAATAGAAATCTTACAGAAACTGAGAAAAATGAGGTATTATGAACTTAAAATGAGCAAGTTTAACAAAAATTTAAAAATGGACCAATTCCTTAAAAATCTACAACTAAACAAAGCTGGCAGAATAAGATGTAGAAAATCTGACTATTTTCTAATGAAATTGAATCTCTTATTACAAGTGATTCTCATAAAGAAAACACACTTTTAGATATTTCTTACCAAACTAACTCTTACTGTAGGATTGATCCAGCAATCACATTAATTACTATTTACTCACAATTTACTTCCACACAGAACGTGCACATGGATGTTTATAAAACTTTTACAAGTCTTATACTTGCCAAAACTTGAAAGCATCCATGATGTTCTGTAATGGGTTAATGGATAATTAGTGGTACATCCAGACAATGGAATATTATTGTGTGCTAAAAAGAAATGAGGTGTCAAGCCAAGAAAAGACATGAAGGAACTTCAAATGCACATTACTAAGTGAAAGAAGGAAATTTGTAAAAGTTACATACTGTATGATTTCAACTATATGACCTTCTGAAAAAGGCAAAACTATGGATACAATAAAAGGATCAGGGGTTGGTTGACAGAGGTTAGTGGGAAATGTGACATAAACAGACACAGAACAGAAGATTTTTACAGCAGTGAAACTACTCTGTATGACACTACAGTGTTGAATACATGCCTTTATACTTTTGTCCAAACTCATAATATGTACACCCCAAGAGTGAACCTTAATGTAAAATATGGCCTTTGGATGATGGTGTGTCTCTGTAGGTGTACTGATCGTAAAAAAAAAAAAAAAGTACCACTCTGATGGGGGGATACTGATAGTAGGAAAAGTTGTACAGGTGTTTGGGCAGTGGGTATATGGGTATTCTGCTCAATTTTGCTGTGAATTTCAAACTGCACTAAAAATGTAGTTGATTTACTCAGATTGTTTCAGAAATACAAAGGTATTTCTCAGCCTATGCTTTACCACATTAATTGAGAAAAGCAGAAAAATTATATGATTTTTTATAGCTGTAGAATAAACTTTCGATAAAATTCAACAACTCCTCATGATTCTAAAATATTTATTTTGTTAACTACAAATACGAGAAAAACTTTGAAACCTGTTAAATACTTTATATCAATAAGTTCCAAATATCATATGCAATGATAACAATATTAAATATTTTATATGTTGTCAATTAGACAAAAATGGCCATATTTTCTCATATTGTCTTAAAAGAGTCTTTCTTTTAAGAACTTTATTTTCTTAAACAAATAGTTGAGAATATTTTTAAAGTTTTTTAACTTTTTTTTTAAATTCAAGTTTATATGTGCAACTTTATCACATAGGTAAATTTGTGCTGTGGGTTTTATTGTGCAGATTATTTCATCATCCAGGTATTAAGTCTAGCACTCATTAGTTATTTTTCCTGATCCTCTCCCTCCTCCCACCCTGCACCCTCTGAAAGGCCTCAGTGTGTGTTGTTCCCTTCCATGGGTCCATGTGCTGTCATCATTTAGCTCCCACTTTCAAGTGAGAACATGTGGTATTTGGTTTTCTGTTCATGTGTTAGTTTGCTAAGGATAATGGCCTCCAGCTGCATCCATGTCCTTGCAAAGGACATGAGACCTTGTTCTTTTTTTATGGCTGCAAGTATTTTATCATGTATATCATACTATAGTCTTTATCAGTGTATTGAAATGTGAAACATGAACTAAAGACATAAATACTGGATACATAGTTTACAAATTAGTAGTGTCTTTATAAGCCAGGGACAAACAGTATAATAAGGTTTAAAATATTATTTACAATATCGTTACATATAATAAATACCAAGGAATAAATCTAAAGTTGTATGAGATCTCCACATTGACGACTATAATGTATCACTGAGAGAAATTAAGCACTAAATACATAGATTGGGAGCCTCAATATTTTACAGATGTTGACTTTCTAAATTTTAATATGTAGAATAAATTCAATATAAATCAAAATTTAGTCAATTCAAACTTGGAGAAGAGCATAGCTATGAGCTATAAGGATTTAACATAAGCTATAAGGACTTATACTACCTATTTAACCTGAGTTATTAAGACAATTTGGCAGTGGCAAACATTTAAACAAACTGTGAGTACTGAAACAGATCCAACTCTCATTTATGACAATGGTTACACTTATGAAAAAATGCATTTTGAACTCTACATATACTATACATACTCACATATACACACTCATACACACACAGCTCAAAAGGATTGCAGATCACAGTGTGAAAATTTTAAGAGGAATACTTTAAAGGGAAATATTGAAGAATATCTTCCTGACTTTAAACATTTTTTTAAGCAGGAGAGAAAGATACCATAAATGAGAAATTAGTTTATTTGATAGAATAAAATAGAAATTTCTGTTTTTCAAAGTACCATAACAAGAGAGAAGAGAAACCTTCTAAAGTGTTAAATGTTATTTCAATACAAATATTTATGAATGTAATCAGAACCAAGATCAATAAACAGAATGTTACCAGTACCCCACAAATAACTACTCATATTCATTTCAGACATTATTAAAGCCCCTCGCCATTAAGAATAATACCATTGTGACTTCTAATACCACGTTACTCTTATTTCCTTCATTTAGGTGGAATAATAGAATATGCATATATTTTGTATTCAGTTTATTTCACTCAACATTTTATTGTAAGACACAATATCATAACTATATAATGTTCATTGTCTTTGCTATACGGATTTGCATTATATATCACATTGTATTTACTGATTCTACTACATTGTAGACATTTGGATATTCTAGAAATAAGAATATTCTACACTACATGTTTTTTGGAGCTGTTATGAACATTGTTGCTATAAATTTTAGTACCTATATTTTGGTGACTATATGAACAAATGTTTGTTGGTTTGATACCTAAGATGATAACTTGCTCAAGTATAGAATTTACCTGCTGCTGGTTTGACAGGTAGCTTGTACCAATTTACATTCCTCCAGCAGTGCATGAGATTTCCGGTTGTTCCACATCTTCACAACACGACCACCACTTTTACAGGCTGTAGAAGAGTTGATGATGTCATCAGATGAAAATTTGTTTATGTTAAGAGTTGATGAAAATGCTCAGAGACATGGTTATGGATGCAATAGTTTTTTAGGTTAAATATGGTCAGTTCAGGATAGCACAGATGAAAAATGTGGGTGGTAGACTTCACTAAAAGATAAGAAACTGTAGAGAATTTAAGGAATAAAGTTGGTGTAGGAGATGTCTTTACTTTGCACTGTGAGAGATAACTCATGATGGGTTCGCTGCAACAGTTCCTTTGAAAAGTGTCAGCACCGGGGCTAGAATCAGAGGACATGTCTCACTTCACGTAGTTTGTATGATCTCTAGGTCTTCATCAAACAGGATAAGATTAGTAACAATAATGTTGATTTTTTAGACTTATAGTAAGATGTAAAGAAGAAAACTTTGACTATAATAACATCTGGAAGACAATGGAAAGTGCTAAATAAAATGAGAATATTCTCTATAGGCAGTCCAGTGTCCTTCCTTTTTAGTAGCTGTAACAATTGACGATTTGAAAGCTAACAAAAACAGTAATCTGGTTCACTTACTATTAGATTTTGTTATTTCCCTGGTGCTTCATAGCATCATAAGGGCATGTTTAACCTCTGTTAGTTTATGGGGTAAGCTTTTAGCACTATAATCTCTTAAATTACAGATTTAAACGAAATCTATAATTTCATTTAAATATTTGTCTTCTCCAAGGGGTGGAATGTTTGTGTCCCCTTCAAATCCATATGTTGAAGTCCTGGCCCCATTGTGATGGTTTCAAGGAGATTAGGTCTCTAGGAGGATATTAGTGCACTTATAAAGGGACTCTCCAGGGAGCTCTCTGAAATCTTTTACCATCATGTGAGGACACAGTTAGAAGATAGCAGTCTGCAACGTTGAAGAGATCATCCAATATAACCTAGCTATGCTGGCACCCTGACTGTGGGACTCGTAGCTTCCAGACCGTGAGAAAGAAATTTTTGTTGCTTAAAGCCATCCAGTTCACAGTACTTTGTTATAGCAGCACTCACTGTCTAAGACAACTTTTATATAGTTAATGTTAATTATTATATCACTGGGTCTCTGGGTCTCTACTGAATAAAAATTTGTCAATGATTACTAAGCACAAAAATGTCCTCTGCTTTTTATCTCAGGATGACTTCCTTTGGAGGCACAACTCAAAAAGAGGAACTGTAAAGAATATTCACAAAACAGAACAGAGATATTGCTGAGCAACAATAGCTGTAAAGACAAACAACTGGAATAGGGATCAAAGGATATTTCATTCTGAAATTTAGATAGCCATTCACACTAGTGGGTTACCCAACTGCTAGGGAGAGCACTTAAGTGAGAAATTTGGGGCCCATGGAAACAAAAGAGAAAACAGTGGCAGTCTTGCTAGTCTGTACAAAGTCAATAGCATGTCAGGCACAAGATCGTTGATCTAATCCCACAGGAATTTTTCCATGGAATTGGAGAATTTAAGGTTTAGAATACTTTGTTCCTTGCTATTTCTTTTTAATTTTTTTTAACTTTTATAGATTTATGGTGTAGAAGTGCAGCTGTTACATGGATATATTGTGAAGTGGAGAAGTCTGGGCTCTTTGTGTACCCATCACCCAAATAGTAAATATTGTACCCAATAGGAAATTTTCAACAATCACCCCCTTGCATTCTCCCTTGGAGTCTCCAATGTCTATTATTACACACTATATGTCCACTCATTGTTTAGCTCTCATAAGTGAGAACATGTGGTTTTTGAATTTTTGTTTCTGGTTTATTTCACTTAATGCAATGGCCTCCACTTCCACCCATGTTGCTGCAAAGGGCATTATTCCATCCTTTTTCATGGTTGCTTAATATTCCATGGCATATATACACAACATTTTAATCCACTCATCCATTGATGGACACTTAAATTGATTCCATGACTTGCTATTGTAAATAGTGCTATGATACACATATGAGTTCAGGTATCTTTTTTTATACAATGATTTCCTTTCCTTTGGGCAGATAAACAGCAGTGGGATTGTTGGATCAAATGGTAGTTCTACTTTTAGTTCTTTGAGAAATCTTCATACTGTTTTCCATAGAAGTTGTACTAATTTACATTCCCACCAACAGTGTATAAGGGTCCCCTCTTCTCTGCATCCTACATCTGTTATTTTTTGACTTCTTAATAATAGCCATTCTGACTGAGATAGTATCTCACTGCTTTTGGTTTGCATCTCTCTGATGATTAGTGATGTTGACGATTTTTTTCACCTTTGTCACCCACATATCTGTCTTTTTTTGAGAAGTGTCTGTTCACGTCCTTTGCCCATATTTTAATGAGATCGTGTGTGTGTGTGTGTGTGTGTGTGTGTGTTTTCTCATTGACTTCTTTGAGTTTCTTGTAGATTCTGGATATCAGCTCTTTGTCAGATGCTTAGCTTATAAATGTTTTCTCCCTTCTGTAGTTTGTCTGTTTACTCCACTGATTATTTCTTATGTTGTGCTGAAGCTTCTTAGTTTAACTAAGCCCTCTTTGTCTACTTTTGTTTTTGTTGGGTTTCCTTTTGAGGACCTACTTTTAAATTCACTGCCTAGGGCAAAGTGCAGAAGAGTTTTTCCCAGGATTCCTTATAGGATTTTTATAGTTTTAGGTGTTACGTTTAAGTCTTTAACCCATCTTGAGTTAATTTTTGTATATGGTGAGATATAGGAGCCCAGTTTCATTTTTCTACTTATGGCCATCTAATTTTAATAGCCCCATTTATTGAATAGTGTTTACACTATTCAATATACACTAATTCCTTAGTGTATATTTTCTGTCAAATTTGTCAAGGATCAGTTAGTGTATGTGACTTTATTCCTGGATTCTCTGTTCTGTTCCATTGATCTGTGTGTCTAATTTTATTCCAATATTATGCTTTTTTGGTTACTAAAGCTTTATAGTATAATTTAAAGTGAGATAATGTGATATCTCCAGCTTTATTATTTTTGCTTAGGATTACTTTGGCTATTTTGGCTATTTTTTTGGTTGCATACAAATTTTAGGATTGTTTTGGTTAATTATGTGAAAAATAACACTTGTAATAGCTTTGAGTAGTAAGGTCATTTTAACAATATCGATTCTACCAATCTATGAGCATGAGATGGTTTTCCATTCATGTCATCTACAATTTCTTTCATAGGACTTTCATACTACTCTTTGTAGAGATCTATCATCTCCTTGGTTAAACATATTACTAGCTATTTCATTTTATATTTTGTTGCTATTATAAATGGGACTGAGTTCCTGATTTGGTTCTCAATTTGGTCTTTACTGAAGCATAGAAATGCTACTTATTTTTGTACATTGATTTTGTATCCTGAAAATTTACTGAAGTCATGTGTCAAATCTAGAAGTCTTTTGCAGGTGTATATAGGGTTTTCTAAGTATAAGATGATGTAATCAGTGAACAGAGATAATTTGACTTCCACTTTTCCCATTTGGATGCTTTTTTATTTCTTCCTTTCTTGCCTGAAGGCTCCAGCTAGGATTTCCAGTACTATGTTGTATATCAGCGAGTAAAGTGGGCAGTTTTGCCTTGTTCCAGTTCTTAGAGGGAATGCTTTCAACTTCTCTCCTCTCACTTTAATGTTGACCATGTGTTTATCATATATGAGTCTTATTATTTTGAGGTATGTTCCTTCCTTGCCTAGTTTGTTTGGGGTATTTATCATGAAGTGATGCTAGATTTTATTGAAAGCTTTTTTTGCATTTATTGAGCTAGTCATAGGGTTTTTGTTTTTAATTCCATGTGGTGAATCACATTTACTAATTTGCATATGGTGAGTCATCCTTGCACCCTTGGAATAAAACACACTTGATTGTGGTGTATTATATTTTTGATGTGCTTTTAGATTCAGTATGCTAGTTTCATTGAAGATTATGACATTTATTTTCTTCAAGAATATTGGCCAGAAGTTTTCTTTTTTGTTGTGTCCTCAACTGATTTTCGTATCAGGTTAATACTGGCTTCATCGAGTCAGTCTGGGAGGATTCTTTCCCCCTCAACTTTTTGGAAAAGTTTCAGTAGGATTGCTATTAGTTCTTTTTTGTATGTGTGGTAAAATTCAGCGGTGACTCTGCCTGGGCTTAGGCTACTTTTTTGAAGGAGGTGATTTTTTAAAATTTAATTTTACTACTCATTACTGGTCTGTTCAGAATTTCTGTTTCCTCTTGGCTCAATCTTTGGAGGTTGTACTTTTTCAGGAATTTATCCAATTTATCTAGGTTTTCTAGTTTAAGTGTAAAGATACTTATAGTAGTCTCTAATGATCTTTTTTATCTCTGTAATATCAGTTGTAATGTCACCTTCTAATTTCTTATTGTTCTTATTTCAATCTTCATTCTTTTTCTTAGTTGATCTAGCTAGTAGTCTGTCCATTTTTTAATATTTTCTAAGAACAAACATCATTTCATTGACATTTTGTATTGTGTGTGTGTGGGTTTTTGTTGTTGCTGCTGTTTCCCCCCACCCCCCCTTGGTCTCAATGTCATTTAATTCTGCTCTGATCAAAGTCCCTCTTGCAGTGTATTCCCCAGGGAGTTTTCTGAACTTATTCTATCTGGATGTCTAAATCTCTAGCAAAAACCAGGGACATTTTCTTCAATTATTTCCCTAAATAAGTTTTGCATACTTGTTAACTTTTTCTTCATTTCCCTTTAGAATACCTATGATTTATAGGTTTGGATGCTTTACATTTTCCCATATTTCTCACAGGCTTTGTTCATTTTCAAAAAAGTTTTTTTGTTGTCTGACTCTGTAAATTTAAAAGACTTATCTTGCAGCTCTAAAGTACTTTATTCGGCATGGTCTAGCTTATTGTTAAAATTTTCAACTGTGTTTTGTAATTACTTCAATAAAAGTTTCATTTCCAGAATTTGTTTTTTAAGTATCTATCTCTTTAGTAAGTCTTTCTTTCATATCCTGAACTGTTTTTCTGATTTCTTTGGGTTGATTTTAAACTTTCTCTTGGATCTCATTGAGCTTCCTTACAAATCATATTTTGAATTTTTGTAGCTGTCATTTCAAAATTTTCATTCTGAATTGGATCCATTGTTAGAGTGCTTATGTGACCCTTTGGAGGTGTCATAATATTCTGTTTTTTAATATTGTCAGAGTTCTTATTCTAATTCCTTCTCATCAAAAGAGGCTGTCACTTTTTATTTTTGGATTTACTTTCATGCAGGTGGGACATTTTTTTCCCTCTTGCAGGTGTGACTGTAATTTGTGTTGTGTATGGTTATTTGGTTTTGATTTTAGGTGCTTTCAGGGAGCTAAGGCTCTATATGAGTTTCTTTGTTATAGATAGCTTTTGTGTGGTAGCTTTCTCAAATGCTGGTTGTAGTAGTGATGTACTGGGTGTATGAGCAGATTAATTTCCTTTTTCAGGACTGCAATTTGCAGAGCTTTCAGTAATGTTATCTCATTCTCCAAGGCTGTGCACTTCCGTCAGCTGGTTTTGTATTGAGTTGTGCAGTTCAACCTCCAGGCCAGTAGATGATGCTTATGAGCAAGAACCAGCTGAATAGAAGCAGATGGGTATGTGCTTGATATTTGTTTACTGGGATGTGCTCTTTGTTGCCTCAGGTGATGGACCTGTCTGTAGAATGCCTGGTGTCCTGAGTTCCTTGCTCAACACCAAGGTTGTGGGGATGAGGTGACAATGCTAGGGAGAGTTGCGCTGGAAAGCTCACTCATATATACCCCAGTGATAATCACAGGCACCATCCCTGATGGGGGTGGTGCAGCTTGCTCGTGGTGACAATCACTAAGTTCTCCACATGTCCAGAAGGAGCTGCACCAGCTGTATGCCTTAGGTAGAGAGAAAAATGATTTGTTTCCCTATCACACTCCTGTACTGGAGAACTCCTGACTCAGTTCAGCCCAATACTGTTGTCTATCTTCAGTCCATAATTTAGCCGAAATCTAAAAAATGCCTCTTCAGCTCTCCACTGAATTGGCTTCAGGGTGGAAGATCTTCCCTGGGCTCAAAACAAACAGCTTTGTGACTTGCCTGTTCTCTGATGCAGAAGTGCTGCTGCTTTGTGTAGACAGGGGAAGGTTGTCTGCCTTTTGGCCTATGTGGATGAATACCAGCTGGGATGGTGTCCGCTGGTTGGGTTGGCCTGACCTCAGACCCCATGGAGTGATCAGGTACTAGCGGTATTGGACTGGGCAAGGCAATCCTCAATTCACATGCCCCTAGACAGCCCCCTGAACCGTATGCACAAGTCCTGGCGGGGAACTAGACTGGGACCAGACCAGTGTAGTTGTCCTCAGTTCCCAGGAGTTTATGTGCTGGCTATGATAGGTTGAAGTGGGCTGCTCTTAGGCTGATGGCAGAATAGTCAGGTGGGGGCAGGGTGGTTATGCTGCAGGCCTGCCACCAGGAAGGGCACGCCCCTCTCAGTGGGAGCAGCAGAGGTAGGCGGCCATGGGGCACATAGTTTACTCATGCCTCTGTCCCACAGCAGTGGCAGAGCTATCTCTACTAAAGTACACAAGAGTTCATGGCCTCCCTGCTCCCTCCCAAGCTCTGTGGCAGTGGTGGTAGTGGTAGCAACATTGGTGTCAGCCCCAGGGCAGGACACAAGCCTGTGGGGACTGGGCTGTCAGAATGGGATGAGGCTGTAGCTAAAATGCTCAGTAGGGGGCAGGGTGGCTACATTGCTGGCCTGCCATCGGGGAGGCCAAGCCCCTCTTAGAAGGAGCAGTGGAGGCTGGCAGCTGTGGGGGCACATAGTTGCTGATTCCTTCATCTCACAGCAGTGGTGATGGTATCTGTCTTTGAGTGTGCAAAAATGCCTGGCCTTTCCACTCCTTCCCTCGCCCTGAGGTTTCAGTGGCAGCTTCAGGGCAGAACACAAGACTCTGGGGCCTGGGCTCTTAGAATGGCACTAGGCTGCAGCTGCTCAGGGCTTGAAAACACCTGGGATTCCATGTGAGTTTGAGCAATGCCTCTACACAATCTCTAGGCACCTTCCTGCGTTAGTCTGGAGGCCCAGGAGGGTTGAGGGACTTTCTCATAGCCAGGATTATAATAGTTCCTGGTGGAAGTGTGGAGCCCCAGCGGTCTCTTACCATTTACCACATCAGAGAGCTTCTCCCAGCTTCAAGCCAATCCCAGCCCTGTCTGGCTTCACTCTCATTTTCTTTTCATGATTCCTTTTGCCTCTCTATTGAATTCCAGTGTTCTCTTTTAGGTGATGTATTCAAAGTGTAAATATTTGCTTACTATTTTTATTCCTCTCCATGGAAGAGGTGCCTACTAGCTGCATCTAGTCAGCTGTCTTGAACCACCCTCTTTATTCTTTTTTACTATCTCATTTATTTATTTTTTTAAAAATTGCCCCATTTTTATTTATTTCTTATTTTTTGATTGAATATATTTAAGGTGTAGAACATGATGTTTTTAATATACATATATTAATACATGGTGATATGATTACTACAGTAAAAAATTAACATATCACCTTATATACTTTTTTCACCATCAAATAGTTACCTCTTTTTTGTAGTAAGAGTACCTACAACCTACTGTCTTAGCAAATTTCCAGTATACAATGTAATACTAACTATAGTCCTCATGCTGTACATTAGACCTCTAGACATATTCATCCTACATAACTGCAACTGTGTACCATTTGACCTACATCTTCTCATCCTTCCCCCATCCCCACTCCTAGGAACAACTGTTCTACTCTCTGTTTCTACGTGTTTGACTTTTCTTAAATTCCACTCATAAGTGAGATCATGCAATATTTTTCTTTTTGTTTCTAGCTTATTTTGCTTAGCATAATATCCTCCAAGTACATTCATGTTCACAAAAATGATAGGATCTCTTTCTCTTTTTATGGCCGAATAACATTCGTGTGTGTGTGTGTGTGTGTGTGTGTGTGTGTATTCAATTTCTTTATCTGTCTGCTGATAGACTATATAGGTTTCTTTCATATTTTAGGTATTGTGAATAATGCTGCAATGAATAGTGTCTCTATGAAGTGCCGATTATAATTTCATTGGGTATATATCCAGAAAAGAAAATCCTGGGTCATATAATTCTATCTTAATTTTTGAGAAACCTCCATACTGTATTTCATTATAGATCTACCAGTTTACACTCCTGCCAACAGTGTAAGAGGTTTTCATTATCTCCATACCCTGGCCAATACTTGTTAGCTCTTGTCTTTTTGATAATAACTATCTTAACAGGCATAGAGGTGATATTTCATTGTGATTTAGATTTGCATTTCCTTGATAATTAGTGATCTTGAACACCTTTTTATATGCCTGTTGGCAATATTAATGTCTTCCTTGAAAAAAAAGTCTATTCAGGTCCTGCTATGGTTTGAACTTTCTCCCCAAAAATCATGTTTAAGTTTAATGGCCATTGTGATGGTATTAAGAGGTTGGACGATTAACATGTGATTAGATCATGTGAGCTCTGCCATCATGAATGGGTTAGCACCATTATCTAGGGAATAGGTTAGTTATAGCAGGAATGAGTTTCTGATTAAACGCATAAGTTGAGCCTGCCTTCCTTCCTCTCTCTCTCTCTCCCCGCACCCCCGTCTTTCTCACTCTCTCTCATGCTCTTTCCTTTATGTCTTCTGTCATAGCATAATGCAGCAAGAATGTTCTTGCAAGATACAGGCCCTTCAATCTTAGACTCCCAAGCTTCCAGAACTGTAAGCTATAAGTCTCATTTCTTTAAAAATTACTAGTCTCAGGTATTCTGTTATAGCAGCATAAAATGAACGAAGACAGGTCTTCTTACTATTTCTTTTTAGTAAAGAAACTTTTCTTAAGTTACAGAGAGCTCAAGTCAATTAATCTTGAGAACCTATTTCCTCTTTAAAACACTGTTTCAAAGCATTTCCCAACTTTATCAAAGCTGTTTACTTATTTAGGAATTCAACAAAAGATTCTAATTGTGGGTGACAGATTAATATATATATGATGGTGAAAAAGTATCGTTACACAAAAGTAAGTGCAGGCATGAAAGCTAAATTTATGATACTGAATGACCAAGAAGATAAATTCTCATGGTAATTCTTCCATTGTATGTGGATAGAATAGAACTGCAATATACTAGTTACTAAGTAGTTTCGTAGAGCACTGAAAAATCACATCCTTTCACATTAGTTACATTACTTTTAATGTGACATCTATTTGCCTCCAATTGTCTCTTGAACACTAAAATTGCAACAACTTTTCCTAAATGGACTGAAAATAATAAAAAATTCATATTAAGTGAAATTCATCTTTGTAACTCTGCCACTTTCCAAATCTGCCTTTTTCTTTTCCCTAACAGAACACTACATTTTCTTTGATTTTAGAACCTTTGTGACTTCCAGTTCTTCTACTCTATACTCCCAGATGAATTCTCATTTGAATTATCTCCTGTCATACCATTCACAAAACTAAATACCCCAATGCTGTCTGCCTTCAGTGCCTTGACTGATTTTGCTCTTCTGCTACATGTTCCAATATCGTTTTTCCTTTGAATCATCTCTCATCACATCATTAAGGAAACTCTCTTATCTTTCTATTTTTAATTATCTTGCAAGGATTACTAATTGGTAGACATTGATACTTTGCTTATCTCAAAATACCAACAGGCTCTCATCTTTGTAGACTTGCCTCCATTACTTATCCTCCTTCTGTCCTATATCTGGTGTCTTGTTCCTTTGTAGCACTAATTTCCCTCATTCAATAATAAGTCTTCACTAATTCTCCTCAAAGTTGCTTTTCAATATTCCTGTCTCTCTAATTAGTGATACATCCACTTCTTTCTGTTATTTCCCTTCTCATCAAATTGTTTTTTCATGCTCTCCTACCATCTACCATTTAAATAGACTTTGATCAATCTTTTCCAAGAATCTTATCTCAGATCAGCAACCACAGTAACATTTTAAAAACGAATAAATACTTGTCTTTGTATATATTTGTCTTCCAATACCTGTTATAGATTTTTTGAAGGAAAGTGTAATAGTGCACAGAAATACTGAGATTTGTTTCCTGGTGGAAAATGGCTGACTTTAAAAATGGTTCTGCTCACCACAGAATTGAACTAACTTATCTAGCAAATTTATCACATTCCAGAGTCTTATACACTAATTTTCAGGTGCAAACATTTATTGGATTAGCCAATATAATTATTGGCTTCAGGCCCCTAAGAATAGCAGTATAGTATTCTGTTTAAAGCACAGATTCTGGGATAGACTGCTTGGATTGAATTGTGGTCCCATCACCTTCTAGCCATATGACCTTAAACAAGTTTTGTAATGTTTCTGCTCCTCAGTCTTTCCATCTGTAAGATAAAGATATTAGTAGGGCTTTTACAAGGATTACGTGAGATAAATACTTATAAAGCACAAAGAACAGTGCCTTCTCATTGCAAATGCTTTGTGAGTGTTAACTATTGTTTAAGAATAGAGTTTTAAACCAAAAAAAAAAAAAGCTAATAAAAGGCCAGTGTGATTTTCACTGCACCCTGATAGAATCCTTTGACAACTGAAATCCAAACTAGAATTAACAGGCAAAGCAATCTGGGCAATTCAGTATTCACTGTTAGTCAATATATGGAGTGGCTAGCAAAAGACAGAAGATGATGAAAAAGTTTTCTCTTAAAAGGAAAAGAAATTGTCATTAGTAGATAGGAAATAGATTGAAATGTTCACATTATTTGTAATGACAAGAGATGTTCCTTTTCAGATAATGCATGAGAGAGCCAGTCCTAACTCAGAATCACTTGGCTATTGCTTCTTTCAGTCCATTGTCCAAAAGTTCACCCATCTGTAGTCCCTTGAGGCAGAGTAAGCACTGAGACCAAAGACACTCCTACCTTCTGCACAGGCAACAGAATCTGGCTGGAGAGAATGCATTGGCATTCTAAGCTCTCCTGAGTCAACAAAACTGATAAGACAGAGTCAGGATCTGAGCAGACTGGACTCAATATTACTTCTTGTGAGATATGAGAACAATGAGTTTGGGAAAGAATGAGTGTCTATATGGGACAACTTTCAAAGTCATACAGACGCTAATGTAAAAAATATATACAGAACATTAGACTGATTCATTTTTTTCCTCCACAAAATAAATTCCCTTACTTTCTTTCTATCACTAAGTTTAAGCCACATGACTTTTGCACAGAAGATGGGCAAGAAATTCCAAATACAAAAATAATTTTAAAATGTCAACAAGTTTTCCTTTGGTAGAAAGGAAAAATAGACGATTATTCTGATGTCAGAAGGAAGGTAGGAAAAGGACAAGAAAGAGGAAGGAGAAAGAAGTTAAACAATTTGTTTTCCTCTTCTTTTTAAGGCAGAACCAAAAGAAAGTTAGTATGTAGTGAAAAAAAACTCCTATAAAATGCAGGAAAAAATAATACGAAATTGTATTTTTACAGTGCTACTCATTTTGACCTTTGACAAAAAATTGTTCCTCATCCAAAAAACAATGGCTTAGCTGCAACACATTAAAAAATGCAGTGACACATTTTTAGATAGATAAGGAGAGGCTGGAGTTTCTATTATTCAGCATTCATGTCATTTTGAAATGATGCAAACATTCTTGCATGTTTCTATTGGGAGCCAGAGGACCTACCATGTGGTCCTGCAGATGGTGGCCGTTTGAGCAGATTTACTGGAAACACAATGCGGAAGCAGCCAAGATTCAGAAACAAACAAACGTGGTGCTTAGTCACTTGAAGCCAAACCCCCAAATTTTGACGGTACCTGGAGTGCAGAACACTTCTAGAACAAATGCTTGTGGGATACCTTGTGAACAGTTACATAAGGGACATCTGCATAGAAGTCAGGGAAGACCTCAAGTTTAGTAAAAGCATGAGCATATGGACTGACTGCTTCTCTTCAACCACCATGATGACTCTTTAGCTATTCCTCAAACACAATAAACATCCTGAAGAATCAATTGTGGACCCAATTGTTAAAAGAGAAATAGACCTAGTAAGGAGTTAAGACTTTAATAAATATTCAGAATAGCAGAAAAACAATTGTATTCAGATCAGCCCAGCTAAAGTACTCCAGTTCCCTGCTTCCCTTGCAGCTAAAATTAGTAATCTAATGTCCATAATGTTGATACCTGAGACTCTTGGGAAGGTCCTTAAATGGGGGACATTTATCATTTTCATTGCCCTCTTTTCTGCTGCCTGGAACATGGGCATCATAGATGCAATTCTAGATAATTTTTGTGACTATAAAGTTGCAACCTCATTATAGACATAGTAGATGAAAAAGATCAATGCCTGGGTTCCCGAAGGACTATGGAGGTTCCATTCCAGCTGTGATCTGCCTTTCTCCAGAAATAGCTCAGAATTACCTATGCTCAGCATAGTGTTATATGGAGAAAAATAATTTATTTAAGCCACCATTGTTATAGGATCTTTAGGCTGTTGCTTTTCTGGCCGGAAAGCTCAGTGGCTGGTGGCACCTTTGCCCAAGTTTCTGTCCTGCATCCAGGAAGAATGAGGTATGCAGACAAGTGGAAGGTGAATGAGATGAATAGGAGCTTTGAGTGTTACAACAACTCAGAGGAAATCCGCAGTGGGGGTAGCTCCTCTCTGTAGGCAGTCATCTCGTGGAGTGTCAGCTGTCAGCAGAGAGGAGGCCCTGGAGAGGGTGGCTCCTCTTTGCCAGCAGGTTGGCCTGTCATCTCCAGCTACCAGCTACTAGCTCCAGCTACCAGCAAAGAGGGTAGCTCCTCTCTTCAGCTGGTCAGCCTATTGTCTCTCTGTCCTCTGCCCTGCTCTGCATGAACCTGGGGCTTTCATGGACCTCAGAAGGGAGGAAGTGCATTCAGATTGGTCCATGGGTGACCATGGGTGGGCCCAGACGAGGCACCACAAGTCCCCACCCTGGTCCAGGGGACTGGCAGCCCAGCCTCCAGCCTTTAGGACCTTCCTGGCCTGAAGGAGTGGCCTTACCTGACTGCCCCCTTCCGCCCAGGAATCTGTCTGCCCTCTGCTTCCCTTCACGGTCCTGAGGCTCAGTCCCAACCCTGCTGATAGATCAGAGCAGGCCCTGGGAGGGGAGAGAGGCCAGGCAGCCAGAGCAGAAATCTCTGAGCCTGCAGGGATGAGGGGATTCTTCCAGAAGCCCCTGAGGGTGCAGGCTGCACTTGGGAGGGCTGCCGCAGCTGCACCTCGGGAGCTCCTACCCCACCAATTCAGAAGGGGCAGGGCTCCCACTTGTCCCTGACTCCTGCCCACTCTATGGAGTGGGAGGCCCAGGTCTGCAACTGCAGGTTGGGCAGCTTCAGCTGCACCAGGGAGGGCAGATCCTGCCTGCTCCTGTCCCCCACCAAGAGCACAGGAAGATCTGGATCCACAGCTGCAGTTTGGGTGGCTGTAGCCCCACCCAGGAGGGCAGGATTCCTGCCTGCTCCATGGAGCAGAAGCCCTGGGTCTGCAGCTGAGGTTTGGGTGGCTGCACTGATACCCAGGGAGCTCTCACCCCAACTCAGAAGGGGCGGGACTCCCATTGGCTCCACGGAGTGTGCAGCCCTAGCTGCATGTCTTTGCAGCAGCTGGTGTGATGGTAGCAGCCGCTGCCATCACTATTATTTGTGTTTTGCTTCCTGAGTGATACAGAATTTGGTATCTAAAATAATAATGATGCATAAAATGTGGAGTTGATTGAAGGGAAGGGCTGGCAGGTGAATAATAAGGACTCTCTAATATCAATCAGACATTTCACTAGAAATATGGTTACCCTTGTAATGTATTAGCAGAATATTTGACCAAACATTCACCTTTCTCATCTTAAACAGCAGACTGAGCCATCAGGTTACATTTTTATTACTCTTTGAAAATACTCTCCTATATTGCCTCCTCCCTGCATTACATATTACATATTACATATTATTTATTTTGAAATATTTCAGACATGCAAAAGGGTATTATGTAAATAATTACCCATATAATTATGTTATATATGGTATATAATATATCATATCATATATAATATATATACTTTTTGTTATACATATAATCATATATATTAATGTATATAACCATAAATTCTATACATATTAACTGTGTATTAATCTGTTCTCATGCTGCTAATAAAGACATACCGAAGACTGGGAAATTTATAAAGGAAAGAGATTTAATTGACTCGCAGTTCAGCATGGCTGGGGCAGCCTCAGGAAATTTACGATCATAGCGGAAGGGGAAACAATACATCCTTCGCATGGTGGCAGCAAGGAGAAGCACAGAGCAAAAGGGAAAAAGCCCCTTATAAAACCATCAGATCTTGTGAGAACTCACTCACTCACTATCACAAGAACAGCATGGCAGTGACTGCCCCCATGATTCAATTACCTCCACCTGGTCACTCTCAAGAGAAGTTGGGATTATGGGAACCATAATTCAAGATGAGATTTGGGTAGGGACACAGCCAAACCATATTAACACGCATAATGTCATGCATTTGTTATATTTTATAGGCTTATTATCATCTATATGTCATATAACAATATAGCCAACACCCAGCCTGAGAAATAAACTTCTAAAAGCACAGTTGAAGACCTAGTTCACCTTCATCTCCCTACTCCCCTCTCTTCCCAGAGCTAACTACAATCATGACTTCAAGCTGTATTATTTCCATGTTTATTACACATCTTCTACTTATGTACCTGTCTCTAAATAATGGTGTGCATATTATGTACATAAATGATATCCTATTTTATGTGCTTGCCTGAAAATTATTTTAGTTCAACTTTGTTTTAGGTTTATCCATGTTGATAAATTCAAATCTATTTCATTAGTTTTATTAGGTGGATTTCCACTGGATGACTATACCAAATGTATTGGTTTGTTTATGCTGTTTCAGAGTTTTTTATGGTATTGTTTTCCTATAAAAATGCTGATACAAACATTCTATATTTTTTCTTGTGCACTTGTGGGAGAGTTTCTCTATGACATAGGGTATGCACATATTTAGCTCTACTAGAGATTGCCAAATTGCTCCCCAAAGTGGATGCAAAAATTTAAACTTCCACCAGCAGCTACATATGAGATTGCCTATTTGTCTACAGCCTTGCCAACACTGTTATTGGCAGACATTGAAATTATTGTCTAGTTTAGGAGCATGACAGATATTTAATTGTGATTATAATTTTGCATTTTCATGGTTTCTATTGAAATTGAAAATATTTTCATATATTCATGGGCTATACAGTCCTTCAACCAGGAAAGTGAGTTAATATATTTGCTCTTTTAATACTTTAGTGTTTCTACATTTCATTTTTGATTCATAGGAGGGCATTTTGAAATCTAGATACTAATTCTCTGCAAGTTTTATGCATTTTAAATACATTCTTTCAGCCCAAACTTAATTCTTAATATTTTAATGGTGTCATTTCAGGCAAAGCACTAAATTTTTAATAATCAAAATTAAAATGTTTAATATTTTCAGATCTTATTAAATACTCCGTACCCTGAATTCATAAAGAAAATTCATATTTTGGGCTGGGTGTGGTGGCTCAGGCCTGTAATCCCAGCACTTTGGGAGGCTGAGGCGGGCGGATCACGAGCTCAGGAGATGGAGACCATCCTGGCTAAAACAAGTGAAACCCCGTCTCTACTAAAAACACAAAAACAAAATTAGCCAAGCGTGGTTGCGGGCACCTGAGTCCCAGCTACTCAGGAGGCTGAGTCAGGAGAATGGCTTGAACCCAGGAGGCGGAGCTTGCAGTGAGCCGAGATCGTGCCACTGCACTGCAGCCTGGGTGACAGAGTAAGACTCCATCTCAAAAAAAAAAAAATTCATATTTTGTACTAAAAGTTTTAAAATTTTCTTACACCGGATTATTTGTTACCCAGGAATTTCATATATGACGTGAAGTATAGGTAACTTTTTGTTTGTTTGTTTGTTCTGAGAGACAGAGTCTTACTCTGTTGCCCAGGCTGGAGTGCAGTGGCATGATCTTGGCTCACTGCAACCTCTGCCTCCCGGGTTCAAGCAATTCTCCTGCCTCAGCTTTCCAAGTAGCTGCGGCTACAGGCATGCACCACCACGCCCAGTTAATTTTTGTATGTTTTAGTAGAGACGGGGTTTCACTATATGTTGGCCAGGTTGGTCTCGAATTCCTGACCTCAGGTGATCCGCCTGCCTCGGCCTCCCAAAGTCCTGGGATTACAGGCGTGAGCCCTGCCAACTTTTTAAAATGGAAAACCACTTTCATCCTCATTTGTTAAGTTGTTGTTCTTTCTACATTGATCTATAATTACACCTTCTTCCTACACAAACTGTCCAGAAATACATAGTTCCATCTGGGGACTTTCTTTTGTGGCATTGGTCATTTGTCTGCACCACAGCCAAATTCACTGTCTCAATTTCCATTGTTTTATGGTAGGTATGCCTTAACAGATGTCCATGCATCAATCCCCTCCATGTTCCTCCTTAAAATTATCTTGTCTATCATTATGTCCCTACAATTATATATATTTTCAGATCAGTTTGTCAAGTTCCATCAAGGAAAAAATGAGATTTTTATTAGAATCACATTGACATTACTCATTAATTTAGGCAGTTGCCATCTTTGTGATACTGAATCTTTTTTATTCATGCATACCGTCTATATTCAGTTTAGTCATCTTTTATGATTTTAATAAAGTTAAATAATTTCTCCATAAAGCATTTGGACATTCCTTGTCAAATGCATTCTTATGTACATCATATTTGTACATCTTGTACTTTTAAAATAATCTTTTCTTATTTTTAACCTAGTGTATAAGAATGTAATTAATTTTATACCAAAAAAACTACTTAAAATCATATCTACTCTGTTAATTTGTCAGTTTATTATTATTGTTACCTCTCTCCAGTCCTTATGCTTGCTATTTTTTTCCATCTTCATGAATTCATTGAGGCCTCAGACATAATATTGACTACAAATGGTGGTAGGAAGAGACATTTTTTTTCATTCGTTACTTTAAAAAAAATGTTTCCAACATTTCACCATTAAAACTATGTTGGCTTAGGTTTGTTCTTTATTCTCTTTAGGTGGTGTCCTGTTATCTTTAGTTTGCTAGGAGTTTCTTTTTGTTTTTGTTTTGTTTGTTTGTTTTTGAGATAGGGGCTCGTTCTGCTACCCAGGCTGGAGTGCAATGACGCAATCATGGCCATCTGCAGCCTCGAACTCCTGAGTTTAAGAGATCCTTCCACCTTGATCTCCTGAGTAGCTAAGACTACTGGCCCACACCACTATGCCTGGCTATTTTTTATTATTATTATTATTTTTATAGAGATGGGAGTCTCGCTATGCTGCCCAAAGTGCTGGGATTACCGGCATAAAACACTGCCCAGCCTGCTTAAATATTTTATGATACA
Organism: Homo sapiens; assembly: GCF_000001405.40. Lineage (NCBI taxonomy): Eukaryota > Metazoa > Chordata > Mammalia > Primates > Hominidae > Homo > Homo sapiens. The sequence continues at coordinate 137,081,523 of NC_000004.12, forward strand.
TGGCGATTGACTTTAGATCAAAGGTTTTTCCACGGTTATGTACCTACATTTTCCCCTTTAATTTAAATAAGGAAAATTATATAAGTAGATTCTCTAATCAGTCTAATCCATCCTTGCATTCCTGGGATTAACCTTACTTGGGCATGATATACTATATTTAATATATTTCTGAGTTTATTTTGCAAATATTTATAGGATGTTTACCTTTATCCATACTGACATTTTTCCTATAAAAACAATCCCAGATTTTCTGCCAAAAAAATTTAAAAAAAGAAAAAATATAGAACACTATGTAAAATTTTTGAAGTTTTTATATGACTCCCACTTAACATTTATAAAAGCTTCATAAGGTAGGTGGTCTTTTTATATTTAATTTTCACCTACAGCAAAAGGCTGAGGTTTAAGAAGTAGAATAATTTTCTTAAGGCCTAAAATGGTTAGAGAGCAGATGCAGGATTCCTCAAAACTCAATTACTGTATCTGTTAGAATCATCTCTTTTATTCCCTATTTAAAAAATGGATTATCCAATAAATCTTTAAAAATACCTTAACCTTTTTTTTGTTTTGATCCTTTATTTCTCATCCCTACTCTATCTCCTCTCAGTCCTCTGAATGTGTGTATATCTACGTAGTTTTCCTAGTCCTATCATTTTACTTCATCTGTAATACATTTAAATGAATGTTTATTTTCATGCATTTGGCAAGACTGTAAGCTCTGGAAGGCCAATAACTGCCCCATATCTGTTTTTTTGTAGCCATATGCAGTGCCTTGCATGTTGCTTTGTAAATACATAGTGATTACAAAACAGATATTTTGGTAGTGAATTGAATTATTCCTCCTTGAAGCTAGTGTTTGTTTATATTTTAGAGAAGTTGTTGGTTTTTCTTTTACTGTGTGAGAGAAAGAATCCCCTTGAGTAGTGAAGGAGAAAATTAGTTTTAAAGAGAAACAAAGTAATTAACATAGGATATAAAACAAGCCATAATGACAGTCAAAATATAACAAACATAATGAAATTAAAATGACATTAAGGGGAATATCTAAGTCATAAGAATCAAAAACGGTAAACTAAAACTACAATTTGTTAAATTTTATATAATCAACATTCTAAACATAAGATCTTACAGATCATTTCTGCAGATTCCACTGGGTAAAGTTTCTGGAAGCTGAGGTAATTCAAGATCCCAAGAAAAATAAATAGGAAACTAAGGGGGAAAGGCTGCATTTTATTAGCCTAGGAATAAGATTACAAAGACTCCAGAAGAAAGAGAGAGAGGGAATGGACATGTAAGCACCAAAATCTCTTTTATTTTTGTTGACTAGCTCCATTTTGCTATATGAAATCTATTTTTATTCCTGTATTGCTGCAAACAACTGCAACTTTGAAATCACAGTAGACGAAATAAAACATTTCCATTACATAATAGTTTTTTACATTGTTTATACGTTTTATTCTCTTTAAACCTGCAACTGTGTGCAATTTTAATTCATGTGTCTTTATTCTCTCTTACTTTATAAGAAGATAAACATTTATTCAGAATCTATGTGTAAGTTTTCTCACCTCTCTATTTTAAAGATACATTTTCATATTCAATCAGTCATTTAATAGTGTCTTTTATATATTCACCATTACCCTTGAAGGGGCATACACAAGATACAACTCTAGACCTAATCAGCATATGCACAGACTTCATTGAGCCTACATTCTGAACATGAAGCCAAAACTTGGTGAGGCACTTTTGGAAATAACAGAATGCTAAACCACAGTACTAATTATAATTACAAAAGAGTTTCAGAAAAAATGTAGCAAAGTTTGGTTCTAAATATTAAAGGATGTTTCATGATCTGGATCTTAAAGAATCTATCAAATTAGAAAATGTTGAAGTCAGGTGGGATATTACTCTGAACAGGAACATAAATTAAGAAGGAAGCTGAAATTAGTATGGTATAGAGTGTTAAAATATATACTTAATTAGAGTCCAAAATAGTTATTTGATAGATGTGGGAAATTGACTGTATGAGCCAAATGGTAAAAGATTTTAAAAGTTGGTAAACTAGTTTGACGTCATTTCTGCTGGATTATAAATTCTTAGAACATAGCTTACCCCCAGTACCAGTGAATGTAACCTTATTTGGAAATACTCTTTGCAGATAATCAAATGAAGATGAGGTTATACTGGATCAAAGTAGGCCCTACTCTGATGACTAAAGTAATAAGTGAAATGAAATTTATAAACACACACACACACACACACACACGGAGAATGCTATTTGACAACACTGGGCAGAAATTGGAGTGAGGCAGCTGTCAAGAAAGTACAAGGATTGCAGCAGACACCAGAAGCTAGGAGAACAAATTCTGCCTCAGAGATTCCAGAAAAGAGACTCCCTTCTGATTTTGGACTTCTAGCCTTCAGAACTGTAAGAGAACAAACTTCTGTTGTTTTAAGTCAGCCAGTCTGTGGTTATTTATAGCACTGCCCTAGGAAACTAAAACAGATCCCTATCTAACACCTCCTATAAAAATAAAATCCAAATGCCTCACTTAAAGTTTAAATTTTTTATTTGAAATAAATATAGATTCATGGGAAGTTGCAAAAAAAAAAAAAAAAAAGTACAGGGAGTCCCCATGTACCCTTTACCCAGCCTCTTCCTCTTTTATCATCTGTGTAAATAGAATGAGGTATCACATCAAGGAAACTGATGTTGGTACAATCCATAGAGCATATGTACTTTTCACCAGTGGCACATGCATTCATGTTGGGGTGTTTGTGTGTGTATAGCTTGATATAATTTTATCACAGGGTAGCTTTATATGACCATTCCACCAATGAAGATACTTATCCCTAGAGCCACACCTAGCCCTTATCCTTTCCCTGACCTCTGGCAATCACTAATTCTCCATCACTGTAGTTACGTTATTTCATAAGAACTGGAATCATACAACATGTATGCCTTTGACATCAGCTGTTTTCACATCACATAATTTTCTTGAGGTTTATTAAATTTGTATATCAATATATCATAATAGTTTGTTTCTTTCTATTGCTGAACAGTATTTCATGATGTTGATGTATAACAGTTTGCTTGACCATTCACCTACTGAAAGACATTTGGGAAGTTTAAAGTTTTACATTATTAAAAATAAACCTGCTATGAATATGTATGTGCAAACTTCTATGTGAAAATAAATTTTCATTTCTCTGGCATAAATTCCCCAGAATGAAAATGCTGGGTCATATACTAAGACCAGTTTTAAAAATAACTGATAAAATACTTTCTAATGTAGCTAAACCATTTCACATTCCCGTGTACGAGTGATCCAGTTTCTCCACATTCTCACCAACATTTAGTATTATCACTGTCTTTAATTTCAGCCATTCTGATATATGTATAGTGATGTTATTGTTATTTAAATTTTACTTTCCTAATATTTAATAAATTTGTACATCTTTCATCTTCTTTGGAGAAACATCTATTCATGTGTTTTGCTCATTTTCTAATTGTATTTTTTTCAATGTTGATTTTTGAGAGTTCTTTATATAGTAGAAATGCACGTTCTTTGTTGACTAAGATTAATAAATATACTCTCCATGTCTGCATCTTGACTTTTTGCCTTAAAAAAGATTTTCACAAGGCAAAAAATTATAATTTTAATGAGGTCAATTACCAATTTTTTCTTTTGTGGATTGTCCTTTTGGAGTCATATCTAAAAACTCTGGGGTTAGGCCATGGATGTTTTTCATACATATATTATAAATGTATTTTTATATATACATATAAATATGTGGTATACATATTTTTATATGTACACATAAGTATGTGGTATACATTATAAACATATGATTTATAGTTTATAATAAATGTATACCACGTATTTTTATGTTGTATAATTTTACTTTAAGCCCATGATCTATTATGAGTTAATTTTTGTATAAGGTGTGAATTTACATTAAGAATCTTTTTTTTTCTTGATGATGGATGTTAAATGGCTCTAGTGCCTTTTTTTGGCAGGAAACCACTCCTCCACTGAATTACTTTCATTTCTTTGTCAAAGATTATTTAGACATATTTGTGTAGATATATTTTTGGATTCTTTATTTGGTTCCATTGATCTATAGGTATCTTCTTCTGGGAATACTACATGTTCTTGATTACTGTAGGATGAATGAAATAGATCTTTCCAAATGTATTAGTCAGGATTCCCTAGAGGGACAGAACTAATAAGAGAGAAATGTATATTAACTTATGCAATCACAAGGTCCTACAATAGGCCGTCTGCAAGCTTGAGGAGCCAGGAGAGCCAGTCAAAGCCTCAAAACTGAAGAACTTGGAGTCTGATGTTTGAGGGCAAGAAGCATCCAGCACGAGTGAAAGATGTAGGCTGGGAAGCTAGGCCAGTCTCGCCTTTTCATGCTTTTCTGCCTACTTTATATTCGAGGGCAGCTGATTAGATTGTGCCCACAATCGAGGGTGGGTCTGCCTTTCCCAGCCCACTGACTCAAATGTTAATCTCCTTTGGCAACGCCCTTGCAGACACACCCAGGATCAATACTTTGCATCCTTCAATCCAATCAAATTGACACTCAATATTAACCATCACACCAAAATAGTCTTCTTTCATTTCTCTCATTAGCACTTTTGTAGCTTTAAGCTCTCGACTCCTACAGATGTTTTGTCAGATTTACATGTAATAATTTTACTTTATTTGGTGCTATTGGGAATTGCATTGCATTTTCTATTTTGTTTTTCAATTGTTTATTGTCAGTGTATAGAAATGCATTTAATATTTGTGTGTTTGCTGAGTCATATGGTAGTTGTATTTTTAGTTTTCTTCTTCTCCTTTTTTTGAGACCGAGTTTCACTCTGTCACCCAGGCTGGAGTGCAATGGTGCTATCATAGCCTACTGCGGCCTCAACTTCCTGGGCTCAAGCATTCCTTCCACCTCAGCCTCCCAAGTACCTAGGACTACAGGCATGCACCACCACATCCAACTAATTTTTATTTTTTGTAGAGATGGGGCCTCACTATGTTGCCCCATTTTTAGTTTTTTGAAAAACCTCCTTAATGTTCTCAATAGTGGCCCTACTAAGTTACCTTTCACCAACAGTGTACAAGGGTTCCCCTTTCTCCACATCCTCACCACCATCCATTATTGCCTATCTTCTTAATAAAAGTCATTTTAACTGTGGTGAGTTGATATCTCACTGTGATTTGATTTACATTTCTCAGGTGATTAGTGATGTTGATTTTTTTTTTAATGTACCTGTTGGCCATTTGTATGTCTTCTTTTGAGAAATGGCTACTTAGATCTTTTGCTCACTTTTAACTTTTTCACTATTGAGTTGTTTGAACTTCTTATACATTCTGATTATTAATCCCATGTCAGCTGTGAGTTTGCAAATAATTTCTCTTAGTCTGTGGGTTGTCTCTTCACTTTGTTTATCTCTTCAAATATTTTAGTTAATTTAAGGCATGGGAAGGAGGTTAGTCACCTTGAATATTTGGCAACTCCACTTCCCAAATTAATGCAATTATGAAAAAGTCTCTTGATTATCTTTCCAGGTTTTCTTAGAGTTCTCTACACAATAATATGTAATGATATCTCTATACAATGATATGTATTGTATTTAAGATATGATTGTATGATTTGTATATGCTCCAGTCGAATATAAGATACTATGGAATATTTATCCATGATACCACTTCCAATTAAAAATAACATAATATTTTGGCTGTCATAAATATACATTTGTGCTATAATTACAATTTCCAGGACTAACACTCTTAGTAGTTTCCATGTGAAATCACTGCCCTCATTGATCTTGCATTCTAGTGGAGTGATGGAATTTTCTCTGAAAATGCTATTCCACCTCTACCACTTGATAGCTGAGTGTCATGGGAGAAATTTATTAACCTCTCTGGGCTGCAGTTTCCTCATCTGACAATTGGGGAACACGTCTAACTGGTAGTACTGTATGAAAAGTAAATAAAATATGTAAATGTCATTAAATGAGACCTACATGGTGAAAGGCAGGACAAACATGGCCTCTGGTGTTTGATTCCTATGTGTGTGGCCTTCCTTAACAAATTGCTTAACATCTCTGCCTCAATGTCCTAGTTTTTAAAATTGAGATAATAATGGCACCTCTCTCATAGGACTGTGAAGAATAAAAGAGTTAATAAATGGAAAAATGGTACAGTTTAGCTCCCAACAAAAGTTAACTATTCTCTATTACATCAAAATAAGATGTAGAATATACTTCCAGTGAATATGAAAACAAAAAAGCCCATAATTTGATAGCTACATTTTAGAAAGAAGTATGGCTAACTCAGAAGTCAAGTTCAAATAATTTCTTACCAGAAATCATTTAAACTACTTAACCAGGTTTAAAGCTTGAATTGCACTTACCTAAAATATTTCTTCTAATGAAAAATAAAAAGATAATAAACCATAGCTTACTCTTATCTGTTCGCTCTTTATTTTCTATGGTAAATACTAAATCTTCTGATCTTTAATTATATGTGCTAACAGTAGTCTCACAAAATCTAATACCGATCTGTAAACATGAGTTAGACAATATTTGTAGAACTTGATATAATGTTAATTTACAATTTTCGTCTCTACAAATGTTTGCATAAATAATGAATTGAGGTGTTGATGTTTCCATGATCTTTGTTTAATTAGACACTTTTGGCAATTCAACACAATTGTAAGGGAAAAAATGACAGATAATTTCTTCTTTGCATTCAATTTAATTATGTAAGCTGTTTGGAAAATAAATTTCCAAAAATCTTTCACATGCCACTGTAGCTTCTCTGTCCCATCTAATGAAAAACTGCTATGTTTAATTTGTTATAAAATATTCACAATTCATTTTAATAGTTTCAGAAAAAAAGATTAATGGTATTGTTTTAGAAAAGCATTAATTACAGAGATACTCCCTTCTCTGTAGATCTTTCACACACATAGGAACAAATAAATTTCTCTTTCTTCTAGAAATCTATAGATCAAGAGGTGAGGGCAGCATTCTCTAATTTAGAATATTCATTATAAATCTATAAATGAAGGCCGTAATAAAATGTGAACTTGAAATTTAGGATGAATTTAGTTCTCTCTCACAAATGCTTTGTGATGTGTTGTGTATTGGTATACACCCAAACATATGTACAAACACTTGACTAGAAGACTGAAAATGAAGCCCCTTATCCTAATTCAAAATATTCTTTTAAAAAGTGAATACACTCTCAGGATACAAATAAAACTGTTAATGTGTATATCACCATGTTAAAACAGTGTCCTTGTTATTATTCCATAGCAACTGACACTAAAGTAATGCCATGGGTTGCCACATTCTGCCTGTTAACTTCAAGCATCCGGTTAAACTTATTCCTTCATTATTAAAAAAAAAATAGGGTTAAAAAAGTCTGAGGATTCAGAAAGAAAGATCAGAATAAACAAGTCTACCTTCAAAGGCAAAGAATGTTATAAGGAGATGCGTGTGCACGTGTGTGTGTGTGTAAGTATGTTCAGAGGATTTCAAGATGTTCTAGAAATTCAAGAAGCTTTAACTTTGTAACACAAGGACAGGGAATTAGGAAAGGGGAAAAAATAAGAAAGTGTTTTTGAAAAACTAACTGCCACTTTGAACACAGAAATAACTGTATAGAAGGGAAACAATTCTATAAAAGAGCAACAGATTAACTGAGCATTGAACACCAAATATGACTTAAATAAATCACATGTACATAAATTATTGTGTAATGTTACACATTAAAGGCAAAAATAATTTTCCCAATGGTTTCAGACAGCAAACAATAAAACAACAGGCAAGTGAACTTTGAGGAAACCAGAATCAGAACAGCATTATGTTTTTCATCAGTGAGAGGAAATGTTAGCAGACAGCGGAGCAAGGTCTCAAAGCAGAGAGGGAAAATGTGATAAAATCTAGAATTCTATATCTCAACAAATTATTAATCAATTTTTACTTGATAAGCAAAGTTCATTAATGCAAAATTATTCGACATTTACTTACATAAAGAGTTCCTCCCAAGGAAATTATTTGCACATCGATTCTGGAAAAGTGAGAGAAAAAAACAAAAATAGTGAATATTTTTTTAAGGCCTAATTCTCAACTTCTTTTCACCCCTTATTCTCCTAAAGCAACAGTAGGGAATGGGGGAGAGGTCAGTTAAGTCCTTTTTAAATGCTGCTATGAGGAAAAGTTAAATGCTAGTAAATTAAAACTATATGGTAAATTGGTTTTTAGGAGATGACTATCCAGCTATCTAAAAGATGTTAGGACTTAGGGTTCTATGAAGAACCAAAAACAACTGTAATCAGCGATTGTTGATTGACGATTATACTGTTGTAAAATATAGTCATAGTTCAAAAACATGTAAACACAAAGTCAGCATGATTTTAAGAGTTAGTGAAATATAAAAAGTAAAAATACACTTGCCATTGACAGTAAGACTATTCACTATTGAACGGCACAGCTGCAGTGACATTAGAAACTAGAAGAGGAAATGGAACTATGTACAATACTTCGTTCTGAATCGAACAACAGTTACACAATCATCATAATAAACCAATTTTTAATTTTCAACTTTTAGGATCAAACTGTGCAGAAAGCAAAACACAGTTAACTATTTGTAACATAATAGGATATAAATATTATCAGTCTTAAAGTGAAAATTAATGTGAGGATAGAGGCACTAACATGCTTCTCTCACAAAATAGAAATTGGAAACATGATGTTTATAGTTGTTAAAATTTGGACATTTCAGTAGGTTTTCTAAAAAAGTAACAAGAAAAATTAATTGAAAGTTTTTAGGATATTAAAATTATCAAGAATTGGAATAAAGAAGGTGGGAGGGGAGTTGAGGGTAGAGAAATAAGTTAATAGCTCATCTATCACAAGCCAAGGACAATAGAAAAATATCTATAGTCGATGAATCAGAAAATAACAGTATAAACATATGTGTTAGCTATGTGAAGGCAAGCAACAGAACAGCTCTGAGCAGACATTAATACAGCCTCAGTGAGCAGAGCTGGGCATGCAGAAGGTTAGGGCAAACAATTGCTGAGTTTAACTCTATCAATAACATATAATTTATTTTTTAAGACTATGTATACCACTCTGAGGTTGTTTTTAAAAATTAAAAAAACAAATATATATGTCCTAAGTTTTAATGGTATTTTACTTATTGTGAGATAAGTTTTGACAAACATGGTGTTAAACTAATACTTCTAATAAGTTCAAACAAATGATGAATTGCATTCTTTATATTGCTATAAAAGGAATAATTGGAATTTTTTAAAAATACTTTTGTTAATACTTTAATATTTCAGGTATTATTTTATGCCATAAAATATCATTGTTCACTTTTGTGAAGTAAAAAATATATAACTATATTATAAATTCTACCTACAGATACTTTTCCTAGATTTTTCTCCTTTACTTTTTTCATTTGTGTACAATTAATAATTAACAACTTAGGTTTCTGAATTCTAAAAATTTGGAAAATAATAACATGATTAACAACGGGAGCTAGCATTATTAATTGAAGATGATGAGTCAGACACTGCGCTGACTGCTCTAAAGGCATTATCTCATTTATTAGTCACAATAGCCTTCTCACTTAGGAATTCTCGTGACCTCTGCTTTGAATACAGGGAAATAGAGGCTAAGGTGGCAAAGCATCTTGCTCCAGATTTCCTCTTTCATTTAGTCAATACATATTTATTAAAAATGCATCATTCAATAGGTTTGGTACACATCAATGGGGAAAAAAAACAGACAAAACAACATTTTCCCCTGATGGAACTTACATTTTAATGGGTGGTTATACCATTAACAAATAAATGAAATAAATAAATTGTGTAGTTTTCTACAAAATAATAAATATTATGAAGAAATGGATGTCATAAAACAGATTGGTACACAATAGCAATTTAAACTATGGTTGTCAAGATACGTCTCGTTAAGAAGGCAGAATCTGAGCAAAGATTGGAAGGTTGTGAAGACAATAGCTATGTGGATGTATGCATGGAGGTCACTGAAGGCAGGAGTAGCCAGTGGAAAACTTTAAGACAAGAGCATTAGGACATGTCCGGAGGAGAGAGTTTATAAAGAATAACAGATGTGGAGAAATAGGAACACTTTTACACAGTTGGTGGGACTGTAAACTAGTTCAACCATTGTTGAAGACAGTGTGGTGATTCCTCAAGGATCTAGAACTAGAAATACCATTTGACCCAGCCATCCCATTACTGGGTATATACCCAAAGGATTATAAATCATGCTGCTATAAAGACACATGCACACATATGTTTATTGCGGCACTATTCACAATAGCAAAGACTTGGAACCAACCTAAATGTCCATCAATGATAGACTGGATTAAGAAAATGTGGCACATATGCACCATGGAATACTATGCAGCCATAAAAAAGGATGAGTTCATGTCCTTTGTAGGGACATGGATGAAGCTGGAAACCATCATTCTGAGCAAACTATCTCAAGGACAGAAAACCAAACACCGCATGTTCTCACTCACAGGTGGGAACCGAACAACGAGAACACTTGGACACAGGGTGGGAAACAAACACATCGGGGCCTGTCGTGGGGTGGGGAGAGCGGGGAGAGATAGCATTAGGAGATATACCTAATGTAAATGATGAGTTAATGGGTGCAGCACACCAATATGGCACATGTATACATATGTAACAAACCTGTACGTTGTGTACATGTACCCTATAAAGTGTAATAATAATTAAAAAAAAGAATTTCAACTTTTACTAAAAGTGTAATAAGCTACTCATAATTCTCAAAATGTTATGAGAAATAAAACAGTGACTATGCCTGAGTGAATGAGGCAATTCTCAGCAAGAAAGTCACACTCCAGCTTAGACTGGAATTATTATTAAGAGCCCACTGCATGGTCTGGAGAGAGGAGTGTGAGCAAAGGAATGAGCAAATGACATGTTAAAGATACCAAGTCATGGCCGCATGTGGGTTGTGAGAGACCAAAGTTTCTGCACGAATGAAAATCAGAAGACTTGGATAAAACCAAACATTACAATTTAAATGCTATATAGAGATTTAGAAGTTTTTTTTTTTTTTAATGTAGGCTATTGCGTACCAGAGAACATTTTTAAACAGGTTGTTTAGGTGTCACTTCTTATTGTAACCTATTCTGTCAGGCAAAATTAATAACCTTCTATTCATTCACTTGTAGAAAGTGGTTCTTAAACTTGGAATCGAATGTGGTGTTTTTTTTCCCAAGAAGATTCCACTGGTGGTGCTGTGGAGGATATGCTCAGCAAACAAATTTTAAAAAATTTAAAAGCATGTACTGTTATAGGGTTTCAAGCTTAGTGCAATGGCAGCCCAGAGAAATGAAGCAATTGGTAATTATGATAGGTGGTTGGGGTGACATATAGGGGTTGGTCTTCCAAGGACAAAAGAATCACAGGGGTATTTAAGGGGAATACTTGCATACAGAAGACAAAATGAGGCTTAAAAACAAGGACTGGATGATGACTTGGTTAAAGTACAAAATTGTATGCAACCTAAAAACCTAGAACATATTTCACAAGCTACAAAACTATTTACCACATTTTGCTTGCATTTAACAGTTAATAAAGATGAGGCTTCCATCTGTGAGCACCTTTTCCAGTACTAAGATAAGCTTTTCTGATTCTCATCTGAAACGTTAGAATTTTGAATTTGGTAATATTTAATGTTTCTATCAGTTCTATAAGTCTACAAAATACCAAAGGTAAAATTGTATTTTTTTTTTTTTGCTAACCTCCAAATCACTTTCACCATTTAGACTAGTTATTTTTCTCTAATGTAGAATCTGACTTGTATTAGATGTCATTTAGTTCTATAAAGGCAACATGAAGGCTTTTATGATGATTTATGTAATCAAATAAATATTACAAATGCTAATTACCACAATTACTTTTATCTCCCTTAAAAATCAAATATTCAGATGACCTTTATGTTGCTTGTTAGATGTCCTCCCTCTTTTGTGAGCGTCACACAAAATTGCTTGTTCTCTGCGACAATTTCCTCTTCTGTCACTAACATAAGCAAAAGCTAATTTTCTCATAGACAGAGAAAAAAACTTATTTAAATACTATATTACTCAGTAAGAGGTAATGTAAAATTTTCAGCTCAAGGTATCTTGTATCATTATTGCCCCACTCTTGTGGATTTCTTTGAATAGAAAGATACTAAGTAGGCTTTCTACAGAGGAGAGTGTAATAAAATACCTAGTAATTCTTTTACAATTAGTGGAAAAACCAGAATAATAAAAATATATGAGTGTTAGTATATTTCCCTCCAAAGGACATACTCAGTGCCTGCTCAAATTTATATTTAGGATTGAGCAATTGTGTTACATATTTTTTCTGTATGTGAATTTTTTGGTGATGTCCACATAAGTGCTATTTATCCCAATCTTTCCCCATATGCTGGGAAAAAATTATTTTCTTAAAATGATCTTGCATATAACACTAATAGTTTACTTTTTACTTTTTAAAAAATAAATTATACAATTTGATATGTAATGAAGAAATAATATTGATTTCTAGTCTTCATGAAAGAGATCTAAAAAACTAATCTATTACTTCTATTAGTGAAATAAAACACTACATTTCAAAAAACTTAAACACAGTTTAAATCAACAATTTATTTTAAATTATTAAAATATTAAAAATATTTTAAATTATAAAATAACAAATCCTTATTTAAAATTCTGAGACTATGACATTTATCAAAAGCTGATGATCCCTCATATAGAATAAAACAAACATTATATTTTAGACTCCATGTGATTTAGAAAATACTAGGGTATTAAAAATAATTTATGAGTTTTGGTTTTCTTTCTTCCCCCAAAATATTAATTATATATTAGACATTGTTCAAGAGATTACTATAGATATAGATATATAGATTCATAAATACATAAGTAGAGTATGTTTCAGATTCACTCATTGAAAATACCTTTTCTGGGCCTACTCCATGGAGATGTAATAGTAAACGAGAGAAAAATTCTGCCCTCATGAAGTTCATGTTCTACTTCAGTAGACAAGCACAAATAAATGAATACATAAGCATGTCATTTTTTAGTAAGGGACATGAGGAAAAGAATAAAGCAGAATGGTGGGGAGTGATGGAGCTAGTGGACATTTTACATTATGAAGTTAGAGAAGGTGTTCCAGTAAGTGTTCATCAGAGAGACTTGGATAAAATGAGGAAGCAAGCTGTGCAGTAAAAGATTAATGGTGCCCAAAGAAAAGTGGCTCTTTGCTCCCACCCCTAGGAGGTAACCTCTAAGTCCTTGAAAAGTTCCATCTTATGAATGACTTTGTTTTCCTGAGGGCCTGGGACCATGCTAAATATTCTATATTAATGATGTGATTTATTATAGGGGGTCTTGGGCCACAGAGTAACAGCTCAACTTCTAAAGGGGCTGGAGTCTAAGGTCAGTAGTGTGAGTGTTCAGCCTTGTGTATCTGATGCATCCCCAATAAAATCTTTGGATATTAATGCTTAGTATAGCATTCTTATGTTGACAACATTTTATGCATATCATCAAGTGCTGTTTTAGGGAGAAATGAACACTGTCCACATGATACCACTATGAGGACAAATGAAAATTCTACCTTTGGTTATCCTAAATTCTGCCCTGTTTTTCTGTTGCTAGTTTTAATCAATATCCTTTCAGTGTAACAGTATGCATTCATGAGTATAATGGCTATTCTCAGCTCTATAAGTCTTTCTAATGAATTATGAAAACCTGAAGTAGTCTCAGGAACTTCCTGAAGTTTGTACAAGCCAGATGAAAGTCTCAATAAAGTTCACTATTAAAAGAGAAAGAGTAAGTACAAAGAACCTGGGGTAAAAATTAATTTGGCACCTTCAAGAAAGTAAAATGAAAACTATGACTACAGCAAAATTAGGAGTAGGAAGGAGAAAGCTAGAAAGTGACGACACCAACAGACTTACATAGGTCCATGATAAGGTATTTGGAAGTTGTTATGAATGTGAAGTGAAGCCATTTGAGAGTTTTGATCAAGAAAAAGACATAATCTGTATTTATTCTTTAAAGCACAAGTCTCACCTGCTTTGTAGAAAATTCACAAAATGGGAGAAATATTAGAAGTAAGGAGACCAGTTAGAGGCTGTTGCATTAAAGTGTGAGTAAAATGACGGTCTTGTGTACTTGGTGGTGGTAGGGGAGTGGAAGGGTTAAGATTGTGAAAAGTTGTCAGATTCATTACATATTTTGAGAATACAGATGGCACACCTTACTGATGGATGGGATGAGGGTAGAGATAGAAAGAGAGAGATCAAACAGGTACTCCAAGATTTTTGGCTTGAACAAGTAGGTATCTGGGGCTGCTAATTACTAAGATATGAACACTGAATGACCGAGATGTGAGGAAGATATCAGGTATGCTACTGTGGAAGAGTTTAAGTTTGAGCTAAGTACTGGATATTTGTGCAGAGATATTTAGTAGACACTTAAATATACGTATCCAGTGCTATGAGGTAATATCATAGATAAACATATATAATTGAGAATTATTAGAATTTAGATGGTATAGATTAGGATAAAGTATGAAACATGGGTCAAATCTATGCCACCACCTTTTTTTATGAATAAAGTTTTATTGAAACACAGTTATGCCTATTAGTTTCCCTATTGCCTATGGCTGCTTTCACACTACATTGACAAAGTTGCACAGTTGTGATTGAGACAGTGTGATCCAATAGCCTCATTATTTACCATTTGACAATAAAGTTTGCTTATTCCTGGTTAAGATATTATTTTAAATCATGAGACTTGATGGGATCACCTAAGACAGTAGTGCTTCTCCTAGAATCTTCTTTTTGTGCCTATGTATATGCTAAAGTATGTGGTTACACTGAAGATACAAATTTTAAAGCCATCAGTAATAAAAATATAGTGAATAATCAGTAACTTAGATCTAGATGAGATTGTCTATGAAATAAGAATAATTGAATAAAACAGTCAGCAACTGAGCCGTGGGAAATTCCAATATTTAGATCCTGGGATGAGGGCAATTCAAAAGGGAAGTACCTTAGATGTGTCAATAAAGGTAAGGTGAGAGCATGTGTCCTGAAAACAAAGTGAAGAAAGATAATTTAAAATTTCCTTATTGATTCTGCCAATGTCCTCTGATTTTATTGTGGTTCAATGTGATATGAGTATTGTGATTCACTAAGTAAACAAACCCATTAAGAGAATGGTAGCCTTGCTGAAAACAATCAAATGAATAACCCTCCTCCCCAGAAAAATAAATAAAAACAAACTCAACATAAATACGTTGATAAGGTTTGTGATTTGGAACTTTCTACATACATTATTTCACAAAGTTGTCTCTGAAAAAAGAATGTATTACTCCCCAATCAAATGAAGTTCAGCAGGGTCAATCTTATTGAAAATTGTAAGGCTCATAAAATTATATTTTTCTTTTGTTTTCATTCTTACTTCCCCCCAAAATGAATCATTTTCTCACATCATATATTCAATACTCTCTTTCTTTATTGATTATGTCTTCCTGGAATTTAATAGCTGATAAAAGTTCTTCTGGCCAGCTGATAAGTATACTGAGTGATATGGTTAAGTTTTGTGTACCCACCCAAATCTCATCTTGAATTTTAATCCCCATAATCCGCATGTGTCAAAGGAGAGACCAGGTGGAGGTAACTGAATCATGGGGGCAGTTTCCCCCATGCTGTTCTCATCATAATGAATGATTTCTCATGAGATCTGATGGTTTTACAAGGGGCTTTTCCCCCTTCTCTCAGCACTTCTTCCTGCCACCTTGTGAAGAAGGTGACTTGCTTCCTCTTCACCTTCTGCCATGACTGTAAGGTTCTTGATATCTCCCCAGCCATGCTAAATTGTGTCAGTTGATCCTCTTTCTTTTAAAAATTACCCAGTCTCAGGCAGTTCTTTATAGCAGTATAAAAACAGGCTAACATACTATGCCTAACAAAAGTGTAAACATCTCTCTTAGTTTATTCATTTATATATAATTACAAATCATATTAATTGCAAACTCTTTTTTTTATAGAAAAATTATATACAGAGAATGATTCTTAGAAAATGGCAGAGTAGGAAGTACCAGGAATCTTTCTTCATACCTAGATAACAATTGCACTGGGAGAACCATCTGATATAACTGTTTTGGAACTCTAGAGTCCATTGAAGGCTTGCAACATCTAAGGGAAGACCTGAAAGGTAAATAGCCATTAATTTCAGTCAATTTCAACTCTTATCACAGTATCAACTGTCAATCCTCTCCCACCCCAATGGCAAGCAGCAGTGCACATTGCAGGAGTGGCTTACACAAAGTTTTTGAGAGTCCAGGTTGGAAAAAGGACTCTGTCTTCCAAATACAAGGGATCTGTGTTCTAATCTTTGATTGATGCTTCTGATCATTAAGATGCAAACACAAAAGCAAGTGACTGTTGTTTTTGCACCTCTCGCCATTGTTGTGAGACCCTACCCCTCCCACTGAAGTGATTTTCAGGAGATTTCATAGGCCAGGGCCTTTTTAAAACTTTCACATATTTTTTCTCACTTAGTCACCAAACATTAAGGAACAACACTTTCAAAAACAAACACATACATGGAGGAAAACAGAAAGTTACTGTACATGCCCAAGGAAAGAAGCCACCTCAGAAAAGACCTGTAAAGAGTTTAAGGTTATAACTCAAGCTGATCCTCAATACGGAGGCAGCCTATAGTGATACAAACAAAAGGAGCAAACCCTAGAGAAAGGGAAGTCTCTGATTTTCAGAGTCATCATATTATTGAAATCAAATACTGTTTTCAATAACAACAAAACAAATCACAGATCACACAAAGAAACAGAAATGTATGGTCCATCCAAGGGAAAATACATTATAGCAACAAGAACTGCTCCTGCAAAATACCTGATGGAGAATCTACTAGCCAAAGTTTTTGAGCAACCCTTTTGAAGATGCTTAAAGAATTCAAGGAAGACATACAGAAAGCTAAAAATCAGCCTGAACAAAATAACAATATAAATAAAGAGATAAAACACCTAAAAATCAACCAAAAAGAAAATCTGGAGCTGAAAAGCACAATTACGGAAATGAAAAGTTTATTAGAGAAAGTTAAGGCAATTTTGAGCATCCTATATCTAGCAAACTGTCAATCAAAAATGAGGAAGAAATTAAGACATTCCCAGATAAACAAAACCTGAGGGAGATCATTCCCAATAAACCTGTTCTGCAATATGCTAAAGGGAATCTTGCAGATGAAATGAAAGGTCACTAGACAGTAACTTGAAGCTGAAATAACTAAATAAAGATTTCAATACAAGTAAATACATAGGCAATTATGAAAACTAGTATTATTATAACAATGCTCTGTAACTTCATGTTTGTTTTCTACACAATTTAAGAAGCTAATAACATCTAAACATATTAGTTTAGGTTTACGGACACACAATGTGTTAAGATGTAATATTTCAAAACAACAACTTAAAGGGCTGGGGATAAAGATATAAAGAAGCAAAGTTTTTATATCTTACTGAAGTTAAACTGGCATAAATTTAAATTAGAGCGTTTTAACTTTATTGTGTTAAAAGTACTCCCATGGTAACCACCAAGAAATAGCTAAAGAATATACACAAAAGAAAATAAGAAAATAATTTAAATCTTTTACTACAAACCAACAACACAAAAGAAGATATTAATGCAGGAAATGAAAGACAAAAATGTTATAAAACATATGAAAACAAATAACAGAGTGACAGAGTCCCTTCTTATCACCTACTACTTTAAGCATAAATAGATTGAACTCTCCAATCAAAAGACAAAAACTTCAGAATGAATTTAAAAACAACCATGATCCATCTATTTGCCATCCACAAGATATTTTAGATCTAAAGACATGTGCAGGTTGAAAGTGAATGGGTGGAAAAGAATATTGCATATCAATAGTAATCAAAAGAGCATATAGGTGGCTATATTACTATCAGACAAAATAAGCTTTAAATTGAAACAGCTTACAAGAGCTAGAGAATACTATATATTAAAAGTTTCAATACAATAATAAGATACGAGAATTATAAACATGTACACACCTAATCACAGACCAAAACATATAAAACAAAAATGGACAGAATTGAAGGAAGAAATAGGAAGTTCTACAACAATGCTTGGAGACTTCAAAATTCTACCTTCACTAATGATAGACCAGACAGGAGATAAGT
The DNA here is from genome assembly GCF_000001405.40 of Homo sapiens. Classification (NCBI taxonomy): domain Eukaryota; kingdom Metazoa; phylum Chordata; class Mammalia; order Primates; family Hominidae; genus Homo; species Homo sapiens. The sequence goes on from NC_000004.12 coordinate 137,099,820, forward strand.
AAAGAAAAAAAGGCTTTAATAATGCAATAAACCCTCTAGATCCAACAGACATATACAGAACACTTTGCCTAACAATAACGGAATACACATATTCTTCTCAAGTGAATATGGGACATATTCCAGGATAGACCATATTATGATATGAGCCACAAATTAAGTCCCAATAGCCTTCAAAAATAGATACGGTACAAAGTATCTGCTCTGACTATATAACTAAACGAAGTTAGAAACCAGTAACAGAAGGAAAACTGGAAAATGCACAAACAAATTTGTTTAAGTTAAGCAGCACATTCTTTTTTTTTTTTTTTTTTTAGACGGAGTCTCATTCTGTCGCCAGGCTGTAGTGCAGTGGCGATCTTGGCTCACTGCAACCTCCGACTCCTGGGTTCAAACGATTCTCCTGCCTCAGCCTTCCAAGTAGCTGGGATTACAGGCGTGTGCCACTACACCAAGATAATTTTTGTAAGTTTAGTAGAGATGGGGTTTCACCGTGTTGGCCAGGATGTTCTGGATCTCCTGACCTCGTGATCCGCCCGCCTCGGCCTCCCAAATTTCTGGGATTACAGGCGTAAGCCACCGCGCCCGGCCATTAAGCAGCACATTCTTAAACAACCAGTAGATAAAATAAAAAATCACAAGGGGATTTAGAAAATACCTTTAGACAAATAAAAATGAAAACTCAACATACGAAAACTTACGGTGTTTGTCAAAACCAGTTCTAGCAGGGAAATTTACATCTATAAACAAACAACCCCATTAAAAAGTGGGCAAAATATATGTACAGACACTTTTTTAAAAAAGACATACATGCGACCAACAAGCACATGGAAAAAAACCCTGCAACTGTTGGTGGAAGTGTAAATTAGTTCAACCATTGTGGAAAACAGTGTGATGATTCCTCAAAGACCTAAAAACAGAACTGTCATTCATCCCAGAAATCCCATTACTGGGTATATACCCAAAGAAATATAAATCATTCTATCATAAAGGCGCATGCATGTGAACAGCATTATTAACAAGAACAAAGACATAGAATAAATCTAGTTGTCCATCAATGGATGAATGGATAAAGAAAATGTACATATACATCAAGGAATACCACGAAACCATAAAAAAGGGCAAGATCGTGTTCTTTGCAGGAGCGTGGATGGAGCTGGAGGCCATTATCCTTAGCAAACTAATGCAGGAATAGAAAACCCAATGCCACATGTTCTCACGTATAAGTGGGAGCTAAATGATGAGAACACATGGACACACAGAGAGGAACAACACTTGCTTGGGCCTATTTATGGGTGGAGAGTGAGAGGAAGGAGAGAATCAGAAAAAATAACTAATGGGTACTAGGTTTAATACTTGGATAATGAAATAATCTGTGCAACAAATCCCCATGACACAAGTTTACCTATGGAACAAACCTGCACATGTACTCCTGAACCTAAAATAACAGTTAAAAACATTAAAACATTTAAAAAGCAGAAAGATCTCAAGTGAACAATCTATCTTTACAACTTCAAGAACTAAAAAAAGAACAAACTAAATACAAAATTACAGAAGGAATGAAGTAATAAAGATTAGAGCATATATAATGAAATAACAGGAAAAAAAATAGAGAAAATCAATTAAACCAAAACTTAGTTCTTTGGAAAGAAGTATAAAGTTACAAACCTTTAGATAGACTAAGAAACAAAATAAAGATTCAAATTACTAAAGTCACAAATGAAAGTGAGGACAATACTTCCAGTATTATGATTACAAGAGGGTACTATAAAAATTATGTGCCAACAAGTTTGTTAACCTAGATCGACTGGATAAACTCCAAGAAATAGAAAATCTACCAAGATTAAATATTAAAAAAATCAAAACTCTAAATAGACCTATAAATAAAAAATCTCCTGAAACAGAAAAAAAAAAACACCATCTGATGATTTCACCAATACATTCTATCAATATCAAACATAAAAAAAAAAACCTAACACCAATCATTCTAGAACTTTCTGAAAAAATTAAAGGAGGGAATATTTTCTAAATTATTCTTTGAGGCCAGCATTGCCCTAATACCAAAGATGGACAAAGACAGTACAAGAAAAGAAAAATCAATATCATTTCTCAACATTAATACTAAACTCTTCAAAAAATATTAGTAAACCAAATTTAGCAGCATATTAAAATAATTATACACCACAAAGTGGGATTTATTTCTGGAATTTAAGAATGGTTTCAGATATAAAAATGGATTAATATAATATATCACATTAATAGAATAAAGGAAAAAATAGAATAATTGCAATTGAGGAAATACATTTGTCAAAATTCAATATCTTTTCATAATAAAAAACACTTAGCAAACTAGGAATAGAAGAAAACTACATCAACATTTAAAAAGTTATATTTTGAGGTGGGTGGATCACCTGAGGTCAGGAGTTGGAAACCAGCCTAACCAACGTGGGTGAAACCTCATCTCTACTAAAAATACAAAAATTAGCTGGGTGTGGTGGCGCACGCCTGTTATTCCAGCTACTCAGGAGGCTGAGGCAGGAGAATCGCTTGACTTCGGGAGGCAGAGGTTGTAGTGAGCTGAGACAGCGTCACTGCACTCCAGCCTGGGTGACAGAGCGAGACTCTGTTTCAAAACAAACAAACAAACAACCTGCAGTGAACATGATATTCAGTGATGAAAGATAGAAACCTTTTTCTCTAAAATCAGGAACAAGGCAAGTGTACCCATTTGGCCACTCCTATTCAACAACATACTGGAAATTCTAGCCAGAATTTAATGAAATAAAATGCATGTAAATGGGGAAAGAAGTAAAATATCTGTTTGCAGATGACATGTTCTTATATGTAGAAAACCCTAAAGACTCTACAAAACAGCCTGTTAGAACTAATAAATGAATTAAATAAAGCAGCGGGACACGGGTGAGTATACAAAAATTAGTTGCATTTCTATATAATAAAAATGAACAATCAAAATATGAAATTAAGGAAACAATTCCACTTATAATAGCATCAAAAAGAATGAAATAATAAGGAATTAACTTAATCAAGGAAATAAAAGACTTGTACAATTAAAACTATAACACGTTGCTGAAAGAAATTAAAGATATAAATAAATGGATGGGAAGACATTCCATATTTATGTATTGGAAGGCTTAATATAATATTAAGATGTCAATACTACAAAAACCCATCTATAGATTCAATATACCTGCTATCAAAAACTCAGTGACATTTTTGTAGGAATACAAAAACTTTTCCTAAAGTTCATATAAACTCTCAAGGGACCCCAAGTGGCCAAAACAATCTTTAAAAGTAAATACAAAGTTGGAGGACTCACACTTCCAGATTTCAAACTTCACCACAAAGCCACAATAATCAAAATA